>NC_000004.12:136194108-136497138 GCF_000001405.40 Homo sapiens
AAAGAAATTATCTTTAGAATTATCTTTAAATCAGTCAGGGGTGGTGGCTCCCGCCTGTTATACAAGCTCTTTGGGAGGCTGAGGTGGGTGGATCACTTGAGGTCAGGGGTTTGAGACCTGCCTGGCCAACATGGTGAAACTCCATCTACACTAAAAATACAAAAAATTAGCCAAGTGCGGTGGTGCAAACCTGTAATCCCAGCTACTAAGGAGGCTGAGGCAGGAGAATCAGTCAAACCCTGGAGGCAGAGTTAGCTGTGAGCCGAGATCACACCACTGCACTCCAACCTGGGTGACAGAGTGAGACTCTGTCTCAAAAAAAAAAAAAAGAAATAAAATAAAATAGAATTATCTTTAACTTGCACTAGTCAATATTCCATTACTCCAATTCATTATTAATATTTTTAATACTAAAATTTCCATTTGATTAACTTGTGACTGGATCCTGACTGATGAAATCTTAAATTATCAGTGTTTTACAATGACAAATATTTGTTTCTTTCTTCTGCTATGTGTGCAATGTGGGTCAATAGTAGCTCTGCTCTACAGCTTTCCATATGAGAACTAAGGCTAAAATTGCCACTTAATCTGAACACTAATGGTCATAGTGTCAGTGTTTAAAAAGTGGAAAAGCACAAAGTGATTATTTAAGCTTCTGCCTAGATTTACTTATATTAATTTTGCTCATAATTTGTCATCCTAAACAAGTCATAGGTCTAAAACTAATGTCAACAGATTTATTAAGTATAATCTTCCCTGGGGTAAATAATGAATATTTAAAAACAATGATATGCTTCACCACAATGAGAAAAAATATATAATATGTTAGAAAATAATACTGCTAAGAGGGATTATAGAACAAGTTGTTTAGGATGTGTGTGAGAAGCACAATTTATAATAAGTTCATCACAAAACTTTTCACACAAGGTAACATTTTCAGTAAAGACTTAAGGACGTAAAGAAACAGGTCTCCAGATATCTAGGGAAATGGCCAAAATATTCAAGGCATGGAGAATAGCAACATACTTAGTGGGTTTGGAGAACAATAAGGTGACAGCTATGACAACAGCAAGTGAGAAAGCCTGTAGCAAGGACTGAGGTGAGAGAAACAAAGCATAAGTGGGTGAAGGTTCTATAGTGCTTGACGGATCATAGCAATGACATGGTCTTTTACTAGAAATGAAAGAGCAGCCATTGAAGGGTTCTAAGGTGAGGAATGCCATGATTTGACTTTGGTTTTTTGTTTTGTTTTTTAATTCTTGACTACTGTGATAAGATGAACATAAGTCAAAAACAAAAATACCTGTTTTGCAGGCCCTTTATAATCAATCCAGGAGAGACACCAGGGTTTCTTGGAAGAGGCACTCTCCAATGTTGAATAACTGAATTGACTACCAAGAATACAAGTTTGGAGTTATATTTCCAATAAGAAATAATTTCTTATTTTCCTGAAATAATTAATGAAACTTTGTAATTTCTCCACTTTTCAGTTTTTCTTGCTGGTAAATCTTGCCTCATTTATAAGTGTTATGCATGTTTATCTTTATAATATTTTTCCCTATTGGAAAACACTGCAGTAAATATTGATGGCTTACTACTCTGATATTGTGAAATCAAAATCATGCAGACAAATCAGACAAATACATGATTTCTATTCATTTCCAACAATACAAGAAACTAAATGGAACAAAATTAACCTCAGCTTTTTTTAAGTATTACATTTTCTAATAACCTATGCCCTGAGATGTGCTAATGGAATTATCTTACAGAAGAGGACATAATTTTGTTGACACAAAACGTATCCCTTTGTGACCAAATGTCAAATGTATGAGTGTTACCTCTTAGGGTTTTAGTGTTGGCATGTTGATAAGATTGCACACTATGAAAGCTATATGAATGTTCATTATTATTATTATTATTATTATTATTACACATATAGCATTTAAATAGTGTTTTCTTCAAAATCATCATAATTGTCCTTGCATTTGCTTTTATTTTTAACATGATGACCAGGGATCAGAAATGGCAAGAATCAAAAACTGATGGAAGAGAGGGAATGTATTTTTAGGTGGTTTAATTTCATTAAATCAATTATGCTCTTAAAAGATTACAAAAGTGAAATTCTTATTAATCTAGAATAGTAAATTTGAATTAGCATTGAAAAACAACTTGACAACAAAGAAAATTATTGCTATGATAAATGTTTTGAGTTTCCTTTAATACTTCAGGAATGTTGCCATTCAACATAGCATATGAACTGTTTTCTTCCAATGTTCTCAATGTTGTTTTCATGCAAAGAGTCTTGATGAATACAACAGTTCACTGTGATTTTTTATAAACCCCTATTCTTCTGCTCAGAAGACACCTGTGACCTTCCTCTAGGATTCACTGACCTCAGGAATTTGTAATTTGCTAAACTGTGTCTCGCTACTCACCTGAGCATAAGAGCCTAGATTTGGAAAATATAAATAAAACAAAATACCAATCTTAAAATGCCATCATCTTAAAATCAGTTCTCATATTTTTCTATTAAGAATCATTAAAATATTATATTCTCTGCATATACATTATCCTAGTTTATATGTGTTTATCCATTATGGACTGTAATATCCTTCTTGCCCTAATCTAAATCTTTATATATTTTTTTGTTTACAATCTATATGATATTTGATGTTCTAGCTATTACTTAATATTTACTATAATCTCATTAAGAAATACAAATTTTTAGTTCTTATATTAAGCCAGATTTAATGTTTTTAATGAGTTAATGTTTTTCCTCTTTGAAATGTTATTTCATTATTTGGTAGTTTTTCTAATACCACTTTGTTATTCTAACACAATTTGATTTAATCTTACCGTTTGGGTAAGAGTTTAAGAACAATGAGTATAAGAAAAACATACCTGAAGAAAAATTATCTCTGTAGTACAGAGGATATTGTCTAATGTATAGCAGGTCCTCATTTTATAGTTGATAAATGAAATTATTAAAAAACAATCCCTTAGGGATATAGCTCTATAATTATTTTTCTATAATCATGTTTTCACAGTTAAATTTTGCCACCACTTACATTTTGGCTCTTCAAATAGAATTACTAGTAAAATCCCTATGTATCTGGACATCACTCTATCTTAGAAGTAGATATGCCAGGATTCGTAGCCCAGTACAGGCTGAAAATAAGATTTCTGGGCTTTTAAGTAGTTGAGCTTATTTTATCAGACTTGGAAATTAGTGAGTCTTTTTAATTTAAGACTCATTTTGTACTTTTAAAATTATTTTAATTATTGCAAAGTATCCAGGCGCAATATGGCAGTCATTTATAAATAAATAAATTAAATTAAATTAAATACAAGATAATTATCATTATGTGTAATGTACTAATTACACAGAGCTTTATTCAGGCCAAATTTGATCACTGTGATTTTTCATTGCTATTTTCCTGGATTTAAAAGCCAGGCACTATTACAACCAATTTTTTTAAACCTTATGAGTGGCTCCTTTTATTTTGTCCCTTTTCTCTGTTACATGGAAAGAAACAAAATTATACTGTGAACAAAGTACATTTTTTCTTTTATTTTGAGATAATTAGGAGGTCTCCTTGTCTTTGAATATAAAATGTATAATTCAAAATATTTATGTGAAAAGTGAATGTCTGTTATTACAGCATCTGATTTTGCATGCTAAAAGACAGCTTGTGTGTAGAAAGTATTGTGTTTGTGTGTGTGTATATATATACACACACAAACATACATATATAAGTGTGTTTGTGTGTGTGTGTATATATATATACACAAACATACCTATAGTCATGTTAGGTATAAGGAATACAATTATAAGAACATCAAAAGTTTAAAAGAAGGAGAAAAATATAGAGTCCTAAAGATGGAAATAACTAGCTAGATGAGTAACTGAGCCCAGAATAAACAAATGGCTTTGCAATGGACAATTTTGGAAGACCTAACAAGAATTAACAGTAGAATCTTAATTAAGTCTTCAAGGTGAATTCACTATGAGTTTATACAGACTTTATATGAAAGCCTCGAAAATGTTTCACCTTTACAAAATGAAATAATAAAAATAATTGCTATCCATTAGCACTTAATATGTGACAGTTTTGACATTTGTTGATATACATGTACATTCATTCCTTGGTATCTGAAGGGAGTTGGTTCGAGGATCCACCCACGGATACCAAAATCCGCTGATGCTCCACTCCCATATATAAAATGGAATCATGTTTACATATAACGCATGCACATCCTCCTGTACACAGTGGGCCCTCTATCCATGTGTTCCTTATCTGTGAATTCAACCAATTACTGATCAAAAATATTTGGAAGAATTTCATTTGTACTGAATATGTACAGAGTTTTTTTCTTGCCAGGGTTCTCTAAATGATACAGTGTAACAACTATTTACATACCATTTACATTATGTTAGGTATTATGAGTAATCTAAAGATGATTTAAAATGTACAAGAGGGTGTGCATTGGTTATATGCATACACTGTACATTTTTAAATAAGACTTAGGTATCCACGGATTTTGGTATCTCAGGGAGGACTTGGAAACCATCTCTCACAGATACTGATGGACAGACTTCTCTACTTTAAATCATCTCTAGATTACTTATACTACCTACTAAAATATAAATGCTATGTAAATAGTAGTTATACTATATTTTTATTTTTATTGTTGCAATTTTTGTTTTATTTTCGATCTGATGGTGGTTGAATCCATAAATGTGGAATCCGTGGATATAAAGGGTGTACTGCATTGTCATCTAAATCTCACAACAACCCTGTGGGTAGGCATTAGTATCATAGAGGAAAGACAGCAGGAATACCTACAGTTTAACACAGATTTTCAAGGTAACTCTGAACTTGTCAGAGCCTAGGTTTGACCACACCTACCTGACTTACAAAGCCTTATCTCTTTCTATGAAGTTACATAAATAGAGAAAAATACCAGTTTTAGGGCTGAAGGGTTAAATATCAATTGTGTTTAAGAATGTCTGGCTAACACTAGTGAGAAAAAAATTAGGAAGAGTTCATAGAAGTTTGAGTACAAAATTAATGAGTGACCCTTACTTTTTAAAGCACATCTGTACCTGTCTTACAACGTGAGTGCTATAATATGTTACCAGAGACTAAATATACTTTACCAACTAGTAATAACAAAAGAGCAACCTGATAGTCCAAATATATTTAGAACGTTTTCAAGGACACACAGTAATAGTTCACACTACTCTCAAAATAATACCTCTTGAACCAAATGGAAAGAAGGTTTTTTATCCATAGGAAACAATACTGTCAATGAAAAGCATAGCATAGATAATTTTAAAAGGCAAATATTCTAAAAAGTTTTTTTCAGTTATTTATTCTAGCATTTAGTCAGCAACCCAATTATCCCACCTGTGTATATAATACAATTTTAAAAAGGTTTAAGACAGAACTTTTTTTTACTTGTTTAATCTTACTTATAGGGGTGATTGGCATTTAATTTATTAAAATCTTAAAGAGTTTTTCTCCTAAATGTGTAGGTAGTGTTTATAACTAAAAAAATGATAACTAAGAAAAAGTGAATGATAAATAGGACTGATTTAAGTACTGTATTATATTGCTTAAATAAAATCTGTATTAAGTACAGATGTTGGTCTTCTTTAAAAGATAAGGCCTGCTAGTGTTCATTAGCCACTGATAACTGAAAACATGTATATGTATATGTATCTCTACTTTGCAATCAATTTTTTTTTTTTGGTGAGGGGGGTCTCAAGTAGATGGGTCAAGGAGAAATAAGCTTCCATTTTTGACCATAGACATTGAACCCTTGATAAAGACGGGTGTTAAAACCTCTACTAGATTAGCCCTGCTCCAGGGACCCAGGCCATCAGACTGTAGTCCATAGTGAGGCCTGCCGAAACACCCGCTGCTACCAATTTTAGGTGCTAAGCATTAACATTGAATGTACTTTTTGGAAATTGTTCTCGAGGGGGAATAAGGATGGAATAGGGAACTGTCTTGTATTACTCTGAATTTCCTGGAACTATTGACTAATGTGGTTAAATACATGGGATTTATTTTATCTACCCAACGTTTTAGAGAACTTCAATTGTAACAAAACTTTGCTGATAAAGAAGATTAAGTATACTTTGTCTAGTATATTTATTCAATAGTATTTATTGAGTATCTGCTATGTGCTTGTTGCTGAGCATGCAGTTGTCAAAAAAGACAAATTTTTGCCCTTGTCAAGCTTACAGTCAAGATGTGGAGACAAACAAGCTAGGCATGTGTATATATATATGAATGCACATTTTGAAATAGATGTGTAAGAAATGTGTTAAGGAAAAGAACAGCATTCTATCAGAAAGAATAGCCGAAGTTATATTTAAACAGGGGTCTAAGAAGTCTGGATTTAAATTTCTTAAATACTGTTATGACTGCTGAATTAAGAGAACTCCTAAGGGGGCAAGGCTGACAGTGGGACCAACCACAAAACTAATTTAGAAGTTTAGGCAAGAGAGGAGCATCATTTGAATTTGTGTGGCCACAGGCAACGAAAGTAGAGAGAAGTGGATGAATAAGCTGTTACCAATATTATACCAATGAGGCCAAACAATGAATTTAACCACAAGGGCTGAATTTTTATCTTACACTTTATACAATAGTAAGTAAATACAAAAAGCCTGTGTACCTAGAGCCACTTAAAGTCATGTGAATGTTCTATATCATTACATAGAATAAGCTGTACTCTGTCTTGACTGCAGTTTGACTAAGGATCACTTAGAAAATTTTTTTTCAGCTTTATAAAAATATAATTGATAAATAAAATTATATATCATTAGGGTGTAAAACACAATGTCTTGATATATTCATGCACTGTAAAATTGAGAGACAGGACTAGCTGTATTTCCTAGGCCGACTAAGAATCCCTAAGCCTAGCTGGGAAGGTGACCCCATCCACCTTTAAACACGGGGCCTGCAACTTAGCTCACACCCAACCAATCAGAGAGCTCACTAAAATGCTAATTAGGCAAAAACAGTAGGTAAAGAAATAGCCAATCATCTATTGCCTGAGAGCACAGCAGGAGGGACAAGGATCCGGATATAAACCCAGGCATTCAAGCTGGCAACGGAAACCCCCTTTGGGTCCCCTCCCTTTGTATGGGAGCTCTGTTTTCACTCTATTTCATTCCATTAAAACTTGCAACTGCACTCTTCTGTTCCGTGTTTGTTACAGCTTGAGCTGAGCTTTCGCTTGCTGTCTACCACTGCTGTTTGCCACCGTCACAGACCCTCGGCTGGCTTCCATCCTTCCGGATCTGGCAGGGTGTCCGCTGTGCTTCTGATCCAGCAAGGCACCCATTGCTGCTCCCTATCTGGCTAAAGGCTTGCCATTGTTCCTGCACGGCTAAGTGCCTGGGTTCGTCCTAATCGAGCTGAACACTAGTCACTGGGTTCCCCGGTTCTCTTCCATGACCCACGGCTTCTAGTAGAGCTATAACACTCACCACATGGCCCAAGATTCCATTCCTTGGAATCGGTGAAGCCAAGAACCCCAGGTCAGAGAACACAAGGCTTGCCACCATCTTGGAAGTGGCTCGCCACCATCTTGGGAGCACTGTGAGCAAGGACCTCCAGTAACAAAATGATTACCATGATCAAGCTAATTGACATATCCATCACATGACGTTATAATCATTGTGTGTGTGCATGTGTTACTGTCGTGAGCACATGAGATGTACTCTCACCAAACTTAAAATACACAATTAAAGCCGCATCCCCAGGGTTAGATATAAACTCTTAATAATTTATTACTGATATACAACCCCTACCTCTCTAAACAAATATCTTTTTAAAATCTATCCTTTCCACTTAACATTTAGCAAATATGTATTAAGCACTTCCAAATTATCAAACACGATGCCAAATGCTAGAAACCAATGATGGCAGAATGAATCCAAACTTCGTGTGTCTTTCTCAGCTTAATAATAAAAACAGAGAAATATACAATAAAGTAAATGTGCATTGTTATTACTTAATCTATAGTACTTGGTGAAGTAACAAATTTTAAGATGATACAGGAAAGATGATGGGAGATTAGGCATGCAGAAGGTATTGCTAGTGCTGGGCATGGTGGCTTACACCTGTAATCCCAGTGTTTTGGAAGGCCGAGGAGGGTGGAACACCAGAAGTCAGGAGTTTGAGACCAGCCTGGCCAACATGGTGAAACCTCGTCTCTACTAAAAATACAAACATTAGCTGGGTGTGGTGGCAGGTGTCTGTAATTCCAGCTACTGGGAGGCTGAGGCAGGAGAATTGCTTGAATCCAGGAGGCAGAGGCTGCAGTGAGTCAACATCATGCCATTGCACTCCAGCCTGGGTGACAGAGCGAGACTCCAACTCAAAAGAAAAAAAAAAAGAAGAAGAAGAAGGCATGGCAAGTGTGTATAAGGTTGAGGGGAAGTATGAAAACAAAATTGAGTGATAGTTTTCTGTGAAGAGAGAACACAACTAGACATATTTTAAGTGGATTGATAAATGTCCACTTAAAGATTATTAAAATGGAAGAATTTTAATAATGTCTGCAGCAAAATATGGTTAAGGATAGTAGGTTTTTGGTAGTAAGATGGAGATTTTAAGTAGTAAAAGTGTTAGTAGGTAAAGTCCAGTTTATTAAAAGCCACATAAACCACGATAAAGGGTTTGGAATTAATCCAAAGTGAAAAAGAATACAACTGAAATATTCTAGAGTGAAATATTAGTGCTTGGATTTTAGAAGTATGAGTAGGGCATAATGAATATAACAGACAGTAGAGGATCAAAGCTGGAAGCAAAGGAACCTGCAAAGCAGATATTGAAAATGATATGAAAAAGACAGTGTGCCTTACCTGTTAGGGTGTACTAAAAGTGGATGATGTTTAAAAACATTTAAACTAAAATCAACAACCCTTTGTGATGGTTTGGATGCCTAGGTTGTTTGAGTTTGAAGAGGAAAGAAAAAATTCCCAACAAAATGTACTCCATCATTTTTTCTCATCCACTCTGTAATGAAGATATATGAATATATGCTGGGGTCTGTCCTGCAGACCCCAGCTGCATGACGGATGAACAACATACTCAGACGCCAATATTCAGTGAAAGAGCAGGCTAGGGGGCCAGGCTGCAGACCAAAAGAGTTGTAGCAGCTGCAGCCCCGACTTGCTGGGCCTGCTGGCATTTATTCAGCACACATCAAATGACAAAGGCTTTAAGTCAACACCACTACAGGGTAATTAACGTGGTTGCCCTCCCCCTGAGAGAGCCATCCTGCCTGCAAATGAACAAAGGTTAGTTTTAGGACCACATGAGTAAACAAGTTATTTAGATAAACTCTCTTACATTCCTTTGTACCTACTTTAAGCTATTTACTTAAGGTAGGAGGATTAGGCTGCCTTCAGCCAGATCTATTACTGAAGTTATGCAACCCACCCCCCTGGACTTCCAAGAAGGTTTGTGTCTATTTCTTATAACTTTTTAAAATTTTTCCCACCAGCCTGCCTGAACTCCCACAAAAATAGACTTGACTTGCTAGGGAGAAATAACAGGAAAATAATCAATATGTATTAAATTAAGTGTGTTTTATAATACCCCCTAGCATATGAAATGCCAACATCTAGGCAAAATGAGAACCTCACTGGCTACAAAGCAGTATTGTTTTTAGTACACGTGCTGTAGTCTGAATGCATTCCCCCAAAATTCATATGTTGAAATCCTAATTCCCAAGGTAATGGCATTAGGAAGTGAGAAGTGTGAAGGTTATTAGCTCATAGGATTGGTATCCTTATAAAAGAGGCCTGAGAAATCTTTTTCCTTTCCATGATGTGGGGTTACAGTGAGAAAACAACAGTCTATCAGGAAGCTGACCATCAGCAGACACCAAATTTGCCTGATCTTGGACTAACTAGCTTACAGAACTGCAAGAAATAAGTTTCTGTTGCTTAAAAGCTACCCAGTATATGTTAGTTTGTAATAGCAGCCCAAATAGACTAAAAATATAACCCTGACCCTACCAAATGCTAACTGGCTATGTTTCAATGCACAGGTCAGAAAATATGTTTCCTTCATATAGAAAATGGTAATTAGCAACAGATATGGTATTTATAAGAAGTTAATACAAAAAAGGAAAAAATCAAAAAATTAAGGGTAAAATTAACTGCAATGAAAACTGAAGATGAATGCTAAATTGCCGTTTTGAGTACTGGACTAATTATGCAAATTATAATGAAGAGTTCACAAAAGCCAAATATATTCAACTACAAAAATAAATTCAATAGTAAATAGGTCAATATTATTAATTTATCATGTTTCCAAGTTCATGAAGTGACAAGGGTAAAAAGTTGAAGCTAAATCATATTATATTCTACATATTAATAAAGGAATTTTAAAACATAAAATTGTTTCTTTACTGAATAAAGGAATTTCAAAACATAAAATTGTTTCTTTACTGAGTACAATGAAAGCAATAAGAGGCCAATATATTAACTCATTAATTTACTAAAACAGAGTTGGAGATTGAACACATAAAAACCTTTAAAATATGTAATGACAAACAAGTAAGAATAATTAAACTTAGTTTCTAATTTCCTCTCCTGAAAATTTGCATGCTTAGGCCTTTGATTTAAGCCAGAATATATGAAAACTAGGGTTTCACAGGCAAGTGACAGGACAAAACAGAGTTGCAGAAAGGAAATTATCTAAGAAGCCTGGAAAAGTTTTTATAGATCATCTTGAGTGGAGAGAAAAAATAATCTAAAATTAATACCATTAGGTAGAGCCAACAAATTCAAATCTTGCTGGAGAAAACTCCAGAGGAATGACATACTTGAAATTCAATATGTGGCAAACATCCATATTTCATTTAAAAATCTTTTGCAGTACAAGTAGGTGTTAGAATGAATAAAAATGACGGTGCTATGGACTGAATGTTTGTGTCTCCCTAAAATTCATATGCTGAAACCCTGATCCCCAGTGTGATGGTATTTAAAGGTGGGTAATTAAATTTAGATTAGGTCATGATGTGGGGCCCTAATTATGGGATTAATGCCTTTATAAAAAGAGGAAGTTGTGCAAGATCTCTCTACACATACCATTTGAAGGTACAAAGAGGAGGCAGCCGTCAGTAAATGATAAGCAGGCTTTCACTAGATACGAGATATGCATGCATCTTGATCTTGGCCCTAGTGTCCAGAACTATGAGAAATAAGTGTTTATTGCTTAATTCATCCTGTCTGTGATATTCTTTGATAGCAGCCCCAACTAACTAAGACAGATAGTAAGATACATTTTTTGGCCTTAGAAGCCCTAAGTTTGGAGAAGAAACACATATTTACAGTAAGGAACTTTGAAGAGAGAAGACTGGGTAGCATCAGTGGATGGGATGTGGAATCATTTAGTCTCACCTTCAGCCTTCACATGTGCTTGCAGCTATTCTGAAGAGGTTAATTATTATCCTATGCCTAAAGTTTCACTCTTCTATTCAGAAAGAAGACTTCTGGATTGCAGTCAGCATCTGGCCTAGCATTCTGCTTTTTATTCATTGTTGGGACATTTATTATATGATATTGACATGGATGAGGTCAAAGTTATAATCCAAAGTAATAGTTTTCTTAATCTATTAATAGTCCTGATGTATGAACCAAAGTACAATGCTATGCAGTGTGTTTTTAGGTTCATTATGTATTTGAAAACAATTAAAACGTGCCAATGTAATTGTAACCATATGGCAAAAATAAGTTAATATTTTTCAACTCTAGATTCAAATTCATATTCATATTTATCGAAGTGAATTATTTATAATGTCTCAATTAATTTAGCAAAGTCAATTACTTTAGTTTTCTTCTCATCAAAATTTACTCGATGAAATTATTAATTTTCTGTATGTTTTGTTTGTTTCCTGTAACTAATATCTCTGTGTTATGGCTTCAGTAGCTCTTGTGCAGATATTTTGCCAAATTTTGAATTTTCATAACAATTTATGAAACATAGTAAGCTGCAAATCCACTATCAGAGCTCACTTTTTCTTTTTTTCCAGGAAGAAGAAAGAGAAATGAAACGAAATATACAATTTTGCCTACATTGTGGATATTATGAACTACTTTTACATTACATTACACAACTTCCTCTCTGAATGATTAGTTATGTATAAAATTTGGAGATATTGTGTAGTGACACCTTAGTGTATTCTTTACAGTGAACATCTAATTTGCATACAGAATTCTCACAATTTATATTATAGTATTATTTCATGGAGTTCCAGAGTATAAAGATAATTTTCCACCTCAAAAAAATATGAAATGTAAGAACTTTTACATTTTAATGAGTTAATGTAATGTTAAAGTTGTTAGGAGACTATGGCCTCTTTGAGAAAACTAATTATACTGTTAATTAATTATAAATTAACACCAAATTTTATTGACTACTATTTAAGACTTATTGTTATCTATTGTTTTGGCAACAAAAAAATTTTACTTCTATCAACTTGATATTTTATTTAGTTGTCTTTTTATACTGATTTATAGTACATCTTTGATAGTTTAAATTAATTATGTGTAAGAAATAATTACTATACATGCTTTTTTCAAACTTATGGCCCGAATTTTTACTTTATTTTCCTTCTGATAACCAGATGTTCTTAACCTTAACATAGTAAAGTTGATCAAATTTCCTTTACACTTGTGTCTTTTATGTTTTTTAAACAAATCCTGCCTTGCAATAATGTCAGAAAAGTTTTTTTTAGATTTCCTTCTACATTTTTCAATTTTGCCTTTATAATGAAATTTTTTAAATACTTGGAAATTATTTGACATGTGTCAGTGATGAAATATCATTTTTATCACAAAGTTAAGCAATTATTTATCCTTGATTTATTTAATGACTCCTTTGTTTCCCACTTTTTAAAAATGCCTGATCTGACAGAAATTGAGTGTGTATTTATTTACTTTTGAGCTGCCTACTTTCTTTCACTGATCCATTAATCTATTCCTCTGTGAATAAACTAATTTCTCAATTATCTTCACATTAGAATTAGAACCTGTGTTTTTTATGTGTTGGGCAAGTCCATCTTACTGCCAACTCATTCTTTGTCAATATTGTCTTAGATTCTTGGTTCTTTGAATGTCCACTTCAATTTTTTGTTCAACAAATAGTGCAGGGAAAGAAAGTTTTTGTCATTTAGATTTGATTGTTAACTAATTGGTTATCTCATTAAAGTGTCAGGAAAATCCCCAAATTGAAAGTAAATTGCACCAATCTGAAAACAGTTTCTATTCTAACAAAATTTTCAAGTCAGTTCAAAGGGTCAATGATGTGATAATGCCTAAGAGTGTTGGGATACAGCAGACACTTAAATACCGATATTTAACACAATAAAGCTTTCTTTGAAGCCAAAGTGTTTCTACTCAGAAGAAACTCTGAAGGAAAATACAAGTTGAATTGGACAGGGATAGTTTAGGGAAGGGAATAGGGTGCTCACTTAAATACAGGGGAAAGAAGGACAGAAGGCAGTTCAAAAAATGTGATTTTCCCCCCTATTGCTTTGTGAACCTGAGAGTAAAGATAGCTCTAGGGCAATGATTCTTACTCTCTCCTAAAAGTATACGGAAACTCATTGCTCTTGAGAATGAATATAAGAAGGAATAGAAAAGGGTTACAACCAAATCCCATGAAAATCTTTTAGAGAATTTACAGATAATAGGAGCAAAATTTGAACTCTACTAACAAGGAAGGTATTCAAGAAAAACATACCCAAAACGTAAAGATATAAAGTACAATCTAATATTTTAAAAAGAAGTAAAGGTTCTATGAAATATATAGCAGTTTTGAACAAATAAAATTAATTAGAATATTCTAGAAATGTATAAATTGGTCATTTGCATCACCATTGTCTCAACCCTACCTGAGATACTTCAATCTTTAAATGTGGGGCAATACTAATAAACTAACAAAGGAAATTGAGATGGAGTGGACAAAAATTTGGGAAAACCAGATGAGAGTAATTTCTAGAATCCAAGAAAAGAAAGTGTTCAAAGAAAGAAAAGAAATTAACTTAGTTAAATTCCATCAAAATATAAGATAAATGAAGATAGTGAAGTAACCAAGGTTTTTAGCAATAGTATTAATGACATCGAGAAGTACAGTTTAGTGGAGTGGTGGGCATGAAAATCTAATTAGAATGAATTCAAGAGAGACAAAGAGGAAATAAATTAAGGTGTGTGTTTACAGGCAAATCTTTCTCCGACATTTTCTACGGAAGATTAAATAAAAAACAGATGGACTATGAATTAACGAGATCATAAGATTTATTTATTTAAGAATGGGAGAAAAATAAGAACATTTATTTATAATACGGTAAAATTCTTATTCTAAAGGGAATGATTCAATAAAAGGGAAAAATTACGATGTAAGAGAGAGAGATGTAAAAAGCCCTGGAGAAATGTTTTTGAGCAATTAGTAAGAACGTTGCGAACAGCTGTTAGGATTGGCCTTAGCTAGGAACATTGACTACTTATACATTTTGAACATCAGGAAAGGTTAGAGAATTTGGAAGTAGAAATGGTTTGATATAGTGATACAAATTAATCTAAGCTATCCTCTGACTTTTTTAATTTTCTCTATGAAGTAGCAAGTGAAGATGGGAGTTAGGAGTGTGAATTGTGGAGGAATTGTCAAAGGAAAAAGAGAAATTATAGAGGACAAATATGTAATAATTGCCTGCACCTCTAGAAGAATAGAGAACTTAAGGCTATCTAGGATGTGTAGCCATAGATCAACTATTTCAGGAATGTCGTGGAAAACTTATTTTAACCCCAAAATGCCACATTTCAGAGAGAGGGATGGATCCCTCTAAGGCATTACTGTCAAATAGAAATAAAGCAAGATTATATCTACATCTATTTCTACTTTTGGAAAATCCTCGTTTTCCCAATAAATGCCAACATCTGCCAAGATCCAGCTAAACTGTGTTAAATTCTCAGGCAGAATTAGGTTGCCTTCCAAATCAGTCTCATATTACTTTGCAGTGATTTCAAAATCGATATTTATCACATCAAATAAAAACATTTAAAAATGATTAACCAACGTGATCCTTCTAACTCACAGACAAAAACTTTATAGTAAGAGTTAGGTTTATTCATTCTTTATGTCCAGACCACAATACAATGACTGGCACATAGCAGGCATACATCAAATACTGTTGAATAAACTAATGAATAATGGAATGTGTTTATTCCATTTAGAATATATGAAAGCTGGGATGTTAAATGACCTTTGGAAGTTCCTGGTAGCCATAAGATTTTGCATTTATATTTTGTAGACTAATATTCAGAGTAGATTTCAAACTGTTTTTGAAATGGGTTGATAGCTCATTTTGTGGGTTGTTTTGAATATTGCTCTAGCAGGCAGAATACATTAGCATTCATCTTAGAAAGGAAGTGGCAGCATATCTATTTCTGTAATTCCAATGCAAGTAATCAGTTTGTTGGGGGAAATAACAAGCTAAGACTTCAAACCAACTTAACTTGAGCTGCCTAGCCTTTTGTTTAGTTGAAAAATTTCCTAGAAAATGTTTGTTGCTTCCTGCTTAGGGATTTTGCTCTGAAAAAGAAATACTTTGCTAATTCTTGCATTTACTGGTGTGCATAAACTATCTCAAGGCCAAATTCAGAGGCAAATTTCCTCAACAGAGAGAGAGAGGAGGAGAAGCATTTTATTTTCATTATGCAACTAATATCTTCTCCATTTGCAAAATAAGATACCTTTGTCTGCTAGTCATTTATGGTTTATACATTTTTGATGACCCCTATTGGGATCTAAAATTTTTACCCACACACATTTAATTCCTTTTCTCCAGAAACCACTATAATTTATTCTCCAGAGGACCGGACCACAATCAGTTCCTGTAAAAATTCTATTTGCATTGCTCCTTTACTCTGATGTAAGTGTAAAAAACAGTGATGTATACTCTTAACCCATGGGCAAAATATGTTTAGCATGTGCAATATGATTAATACCAAGTTCTGACTGAGATATCTGTTGGTTAGTATACCATGTATTCATCTCTATCTTTGCTCAAATTTTCAATAAAAATATTTTTATTATTTTCAGTATGATACTGAAAATATGTATGTCTACCTGTATATCTATGTCTAACTGTTCAGAGTCATACTCTTAAACAGGGGATATGTAATTCTCTATTCTAATTATTATTAAGTTCATTACATATAGTATAAAAGGGAGAGCTGTTATACTATATCCAGTGATATAGTATAAAATCCAGTGATAATTATTCTATGAAAGGTAATATATTAATCATTTCAATATATCTACTTAGACATAAAAGTTATTTAAATGCATTATTTCTAATACTTAATTGCTTTTGTAATAGAAATGCAGCACAAAGCCAAAAATAACACACGCATGCTTACTTGGAGATATGTTTATCTGTATTCTTAGGCATTCATTACCATAAACATAAGAGGGGTATCTCCACTCAATCTGGTTTTTCTCCCAAAGTTTAATGGCTTTAAGCAGGCAGAGTTAAGGGTTGTCGGTAGTTAATAGGATTTTTGTTAGTTTCTTTTAAAGATTATCTATTAGTCTCATCCAATTTTCCTGTAAAATATTAATATACAGAACTTTAGATTCATTGAAACTAACAACTCAAACCTTATTGGAATAGTCATAAGGGTAATGCTTTCTTTAGAAAGAACAAATAATTGATGGAAGGTGTATCTGAGAAACACATGATATCTACAGTTATTTTTTTTTAAATTGTCCTGTTTGTTTATTTGTATTTGTATTTTTATTTTTTATTATACTTTAAGTTCTGGGGTACATGTGTAGAACGTGCAGTTTTGTTACATAGGTATACACGTGTCATGCTGGTTTGCTACAACCATTAACCCATCACCTAAGGTATTAGCTATTTCTCCTAGTGCTATCCCTCCCTTAGACCCTCACCCCCCGACAGAGCCTAGTGTGCAATGTTCTGCTCCCTGTGTCCATGTATTCTCATTGTTCAACTCCCACTTATGAGTGACAACATCCAGTGTTTGGTTTTCTATTCTTGTGTTAGTTTGCTGAGAATGATGGTTTCCAGCTTCATCCATGTCCCTGCAAAAGACAGTAACTCATCCTTTTTTATGGCTGCATAGTATTCCATGGTGTACATGTGCCACATTTTATTTATCCAGTCTTTCACTGATGGACATTTGGGTTGGTTCCAGGTCTTTGCTATTGTGAATAGTGCCGCAATAAATATATGTGTGCATTGTCTTTATAATAGAATGATTTATAATCCTTTATAATCAAGCCAAACTGGTTAATGTGGCTGGAAATTTCCCAAGTGACCACCCACAGACCACCTAGCACCAACTGACTGATCATCTGAAATCAGCCAATTAAAAGAGAGTGGTGATTTTAGGCTTAAAGATGATCCAATCAAGACTATTCCTCATTCTCCTGACTCCCCTCTCCTGCCCTGCACTTTGTACCTTTATGATCTCTAACTCTACAACCTCTCATTGAAGCACATTTTCTGTTTGCAGTGAAGTCTCATTCTCTCCAATCTGCAGATTCCTCTTTTTAATAAAAAATAAAGCTCTTTTTTTCTCCATAGATCTCAGTCTCTTCTTAATATAATGAAAATATTTTTATCTGCCACCACCCTCACCATTTAGCCTACCATTGAATAAATATTTATTATCAATGTCATGTTATTTTTTCTTTACATAGGCTCTATTTATCCATGTCCTGGCCCTTTTCAGTAGCATTCCATATGCCCAAATCTATCCCAGCTTAAAAGACCTTATCTAAATCTTGAATGGCTTATCATCACTCTACATTTTTTCTAATGTTCATACATCACATACTTTTTGGTTTGATTGTTTGAAATCCCTTTCAAACTTTCTTTTTGTTCACTCTTTTCCTTCTTTTTTATGGCTAAATAGTATTCTGTTGTACATATATATATATAATATTTTATCCATCCATCTGTTGACAGACATTTAGGCTGATTCTATATCTTGCCTATGGTGAAGAGGGCTATAATAAATATGAGGGTATAGGTAGTTCTTTCATATACTGATTTTCCTTCCTTTGAATAAATACCAAGTAGTGAAAATGTTTGGTCATATGGTAGTTCTATTTTGTAGTATTTTGAGAAACCTCCATACTGTTTTCCACAATGGCTCTAATAATTTACATCCCCGCCAGCAGTGTAAGAGTTCACTTTTCTCCACATACTCACCAGCAACTGTTATTTTTTATTTTTTTCTTTTTGGGATTACAGGTGCGCAACACCATGCCTGGCTAATTTTTTTTTTCAGAGTCCACAGAGCTATTTTATTATTATTACTATTATTATTATTATTATTTTTTAATTATACTTTAAGTTTTAGGGTACATGTGCACATTGTGCAGGTTAGTTACATATTTTTTTTATAACCATTGTGAAGTAAGATATTTTATTGTTGTTTTGACTTGCCTGTCCCTGATTATAAGTAATGTTGAGCATTTTTTTCTATATACTTTCTGATTATTTATATGCCTTTTTTTGAGAGGTTTCTATTTGGAATCTTTGCCCATTTGTGTCAGATTTTTTAAAATGTTGAGTTTGATATAATTGATTGGTCTATATTGAAGTTTATTTCTTGACCAAGTATTTCTCTTTGGTTCACTTCTAGAACTTTTGTGGTTGCAGGTCTTTTTTTTTTTTTTTTTTTTTTTGAGGAGTGTTGCTCTGTCACCCAGGCTGGAGTGCAGTGGCGCAATCTTGGCTCACTGCAAGCTCTGCCTCCTGGGTTCATGCCATTCTCCTGCTTCAGCCTCCCAAGTAGCTGGGACCACAGGCACCCGCCACCACGTGTGGCTAATTTCTTGTATTTTTAGTAGAGACGGGGTTTCACCATGTTAGCCAGGATGGTCTCAATCTCCTGACTTCATGATCTGCCCACCTCAGACTCCCAAAGTGCTGGGATTACAGGCGTGAGCCACCGCACCCAGCCTGTAGTTGCAGGTCTTATGTTTAATTCTTTTATCCATTTTGAATTGATGTATGTATATGGTGAGAGAGCAGCATCTAGTATTATTCTGCATAGTGATATCCATTTTATTTCAGCAACATTCATTGAATACACTGTCCTATCTGCAATTTTCTTGACACCTTCATCAGAAAATATGGATATCGTTAGCTATAATATTCTGTTACATTGGTCTGTGTGTTTGTTTTTATACAAATACCATACTGTTTAAATTACTATAGGTTTATAGTACATTTTAAAGTCAGGTAGTGTGATGCCTTCAGCTTTGTTCTTTTTGCTCAGCATTGCTTTGACTATTCAATGTTTTATGTGGTTTCACATACATTTCAGTATTCTTTTTTATATTTTTATGAATAATATCATTGATATTTTTCTAGAGATTTCATTGGGTAGTATGTTCATTGTAACAATATTAATTATTCCAATCCATAAGCATAAAATATCTTCCCATTTTTCTGTGTCCTTTTCAAATTATTTCATCAGCATTTGCTAGTTTTCATTGTAGAGATATTTGATCCCCTTGGTTAAATTTTTTTCTAGACATTTTAGTTTTGTTTTTGTTACTGCTGTACATAGGATTGCTTTCTTGGTTTCTTTTTCAGGCACTTTTTGTTGTTATATAGAAATATTACTAATTTTTCTAAGTTGATTTCATATCCTGAAACATTTCAGATTTCATTAATTCTAACAGTTTTTGGTAGCATCTTTAGGTTTTCTACGTATAAGGTCATGCTATCTGCAAAGATGAACAACTTTACCTTATATTTTCCAATTTGAATGCCATTTATTATTTTCTCTTGTCGAATTGCTCTGGCTAGAACTTCCAGTACCATATTAAATAAGAGTAGTACAAATGGGTATTCTTGTCCCATTCAAGTTCTTAGATCAAAATCTTTCAGCTTTTCCCCATTTACTATGATGGTATCTGTGGGTTTGTCATTTATGACCATTATGTATTGAGGTATGTTCCTTCTATACCAGATTTATGAAGAGATTTCATCAGGAAGAATGTTAACTTTTATAAAATGCTTTTTCTGCATTTTTTGAGATGATCAAGCAGTAAGGTTTTTATCCTTTATTCTGCTGATCTGATGTGTAACATATATTGATTTGTGTATGTAGAACCATCTTGTGTCCCTGAAATAAATCCCATTTGATCATAGTGTATTATCTTTTTAATGTGCTGTTGGACTTTGTTTGCTAGTATTTTGTTGATTTTTTTTTGCATCTATGTTCATCAGGAATATGGGAATATGTGGTTTTTTTAATGTGTCCTTTTTTGTTTTTGTTTTTTAAACTTTTATTTGAGGTTCAGGAGTTCACGTGCAGGTTTTTCATGTAGGTTATATATAATATGAGGGTTTGGTGTACAGATTATTTCTTCACTCAGGTAATAAGAAAAGAACCCAATAGTTTTTCAATCCTCACCCTTCTCCCACTCTGTACCCTCAAGTAGGCCCTGGTGTTTGTTGTTATATTCTTTTTTTCAATGCGTATTCAATGTTTTGCACCCACTTATAAGTGAGAACATGCGGTATTTGATTTTCCATTCCTGTGCAAGTTTGCCTAGAATAATGGCCTCCAGCTCCACCCATGTTGCTGCAAAAGACATGATCTCATACTTTTTCATGGTTTTGTAGTATTTCACGGTGTATATATCACACATTTTCTTAACCCAGCCTACTATTAATGGGCATTTAAATTGATTCCATGTCTTTGCTATTGAGACATGGAGTCATTTGATTTTTGCTTGTTAATTTGTTTAAGTTTCTTATATATTCTGGATATTAGACCATTGTCAAAGGCATAGTTTGTAAATATTTTCTTCTGTAAGTTGTCTGATTATTCTGTTGATAGTTTCTTTTGTTATACAGGCACTCTTTAGTTTAATTAGGTCCCATTTATTAATTTTTATTTTTAGTGTCATTGCTTGGCTTCTTCATCGTTGTATCTTTGCCAGGGCTTACGTCCAGGATGGTATTTTCTAGATTTTCTTCTAGAGGTTTTATAATTTTAGGTTTTATATTGAAGTATTTAACACATCTTGAGATGATTTTTCTATATAGTGTAAAGAAATGGGTCCAGTTTTAATCTTCTGCATATGGCTAGCCAGTTATCCCAGCACCATTCATTGAATAAGGAGTCCTTTCCCTATTGCTTGTTTTTGAAAACTTTGTGGTCTCTTCTACTCCATGGGTCTATGTGTCTGTTCTTTTGTCAGTGTTATATTGCTTTTGTTAAATTAGCCTTATAATATAGTTTGAAGTTGGGTATGATTTCTCTAGCTTTGTTCTTTTTGCTTAGGACTGGCTTGACAATTGGGTCTCCTTTTTTTTCTATACAAATTTTAAAATAGTGAACAAATTCTGTGAAGAATATCTTTGGTAGTTTTATAGGAGTAGCACTGAATTTGTAAACAGCTTAGAGAAGTACGGCCATATGAAAAATATTGATTCTTTCTATCCTTGAGCATGGGATGTTTTTCCATATGTTTGTGTCATCTCTGCTTTCTTTCAGCAGAGTTTTGTAATTATTGTTGTAGAGGTCTTTTATGTCACTGGATAGTTGTATTTCTAGGTATTTTATTCTTTTGTGGCTATTGTGAATGGGATTGCATTCTTGATTTCGCTCTCAGCTTGAATATTGTTGGTGTATAGAAATACTACTGATTTTGGCACATTGATAATGTAACCTGAAACTGTGGAAGCTGTTTTCAGATTGGGAAGCTTCTGTGCAGAGACTATGGAGTTTTCTAGATATAGAATTACATCTTCTTCAAACAGAAATAGTTTGACTTCTTCTATTCCTATTTGAATGCCCTTTATTTCTTTCTCTTGATTAATTACTCTGGCAAGGACTTTCAGTACTGTGTTGAAAAGGAGTGGTGAGAGACAGCACCTTCATCTTGTTTCCGTTCCCAGGAAGAATGTTTCCAGCCTTTGCCTATTCAGTATGATGATGGCTGTGGATTTGCCATAGATGGTTCTTATTATTTTCAGGTAGGTATCTTTGATGCCTTGTTTTTTGAGGATTTTTAACATGAAAAGATGTTGAATTTTATCAAAAGACTTTTCTGCAACTATTGAGATGATCATGGGGCTTTTATTTTTACTTCTGAATCCCATTTGTTGATTTGCATATGTTGATCCAACCTTGCGTCTCAGGAATAAAGCCTAGTTGACTGTACTTTTTTGATGTGCTGCAGGATTTGGTTTGCTAGTATTTTATTGTGGATCTTTGCATCTATGATCATCAAAGATATTGCCTTGAAATTTTATTTTTTTTGTTCTGTCTCTGACAGGTTTTAGTGTTAGGATGACACCGGCATCATGCAGTGAATTAGGGAGGAGTATATCCTCCTTGATTTTTGGAATACTTTCAGTAGGAATGATTCCAGTTGATATAAAAATATATATATCATATATATGGTATATATATGATATATTATATATGATATATTATATATATGATATATTATATATATTTTTTATTTATATATATATGTGTATATGTGTGTGTGTATATATATATATATGGTAGAATTCAGCTGTGAATCCATCTGGTCCTGGGGATTTTTTTGGTTGGTAGGATTTTTATTCCTGATTCAATTTAGGAACTTCTTATTGGTCTGTCAAGGGATTTATTTTTTTCCTGGTTCAAGCTTGGGTTATGTTTCCTGGAATTTATCCATTTCTTCTGTGGTTTCTAGTTTGTATTCACAGAGGTGTTTATAGTAGTCTCTGTTTTTTGTTTTTGTTTTAAATTTCTGTGTGGTCAATGGTAATGTCCCCTTTGTTATTTCTGACTGTAGTAATTTGGTCTTTTTTTCTTTATTAGTTTAGTTAGTCATCCATCGATGATATTTATTCTTTCAAATAACCAATTATTGGACTCATTTATCTTTTGCATGTTTATTCATATATCAGTTTCCTTCAGTTTAGCTCTGATTTTGGTTATTTCTTGTCTTCTGCTAATTTGGGGGGGTTGGGGTTGCTCGTTTCTGTAGTTCCTCTTGATGTAACTTTAGGTTCCTAATTTTAGATTTTTCTAACTTTTTGATGTGGGTGTTTATTGCTATAAACTTCCCTCTTAATACTACTTTAGCTGTGTTTCTGAGATTTAGTATGTTAAATCTTTGTTCTCATTAGTTTCAAAGAATTTCACGATCTCTGCCTTAATTTCATTATTTACCTAAATGTCATTCAGACTGTTTAATTTCCACATAATTGTACGGTTTTGAATGACTCTCTTAATATTAGTTTGTATTTTTATTGTGCTGTAGTGTGAGAGTGTGTTTGGTATAGTTTTAGTTTTTTTTTTTTTAATTTGCTGAGGATTGTTTCATGGTTGATTGTGGGTGGATTTTAGATTATGTGCTATATGCAGATGAGAAGAATATATATTCCATGTTTTTGGGTGAAAAGTTCTGTAGATGTCTGTTAGGACAATTTGGTCAAGTGTTGAGCTCAAGTTCCAAATAATCTAGTTATATAGCTATAGTTATTAATTATTAATAGCTATATAATTATATAGCTATAGTTAATTATATAGCTAATTTTTGTTAGTTTTCTGCCTTGATGATCTGTCTAATACTGTCAAAGGGGTGTTGAAATTTTCCACTATTATTATTTGGTTATATAACTTTCTTCTTAAGTATCTAAGAACTTGCTCTATGAATGAATCTGGTTGATCCTGTGTCAGGTGCATATATATTTAGGACAGTTGGGTCTTCTTGTTGAATTGAACCCTTTACCATTATATTATGTAAATCCTTTCTTTGTCTTTTTTTACTGTTGTTGGTTTAAAGTCTGTTTTGTCTGAAATTATTAGAAGTGCAACCCATGCCTTTTTCTGTTTTCTTGGTAAATTTTTCTATTCCCCTTTACTTGGAGTCTATGCTTGTCATTGCATGTGAGATGGCTCTCTTGAAGCCAACATACAATTGGGTCTTTCTTCTTTATCCAACTTGCTATTTTGTACCTTTTAATTGGGATATTTAGCTCATTATTTTCATGTGCAGATTTAATCATGTAATTGTATTGTTAGCTGTTTATCATGCAGACTTGATTGTGTGGCTGCTTTATAGTGCCAATGTTCTATGCACTTAAGTGTGTTTTTATGGTGGCCAATAAGGGTCATTCCTTTCTACATTTAGCACTCCCTTAAGAACCTCTTGTAAATCAGGTCTGATGGTAATGAATTCCCTTAGCATTCACTTGAAAAGGATCTTATTTCTCCTTTGGTTATTAAGTTAGTTTGGCTAGTTATGAAATTCTTAGTTGGAATTTCTTTTTCCTAAGAATGCTGAATATAGGCACCCAATCTCTTCTGGCTTGTAGGGTTTCTGCTAAAATGTCTGCTGTTTGTCTGATGTGGTTTATTTTTACATAACCTGCCCCTTCTCTCTAGCTACTTTTAACATATTTTCTTTCATTTAGCCCTTGAAGAATGTGATGACAATGTACCTTTGGGATGGTTGTCTTATATAGTATCTCACAAGGGTTCTTTGCATTTATTGAGTTTGAATACTGACCTTTCTAATGAGATTGGGACAGTTTACATGACAATATCTTCAAATATGTTTTCCAAGTTGCTTGCTTTCTCTCCCTCTTTCAGGGACACCAGTGAATTATAGATTTGATTTCTTTAACCAAACTCACTCATCCCATATTTTTCAGAGGCTTTGTACATTTGTCTTTATTATTTTTTCTTCATTTTATCTGACTGAGTTATTTCAGAGGTCCAGTCTTTGAGCCCTGAGATTCTTTCCTCAGCTTAGTCCATTCTGCTGTTAATACTTGCAATTGGATTATAAAATTTTTGAAGTAATTTTTTCAGCTCAATCAGATCAATTTGGTTCTCTCTTAAAATGTTGTTTCATCTCCTGCATCTTTGTACTGTATTCTTTAGATTTCTTCAATTTGGTTTCAGCTTTCTTCTGAATCTTGATGATCTTAGTTTCTAGCCATATTCTGAATTCTGTTTCTGTCATTTCAGACATTTCAGCCTGGTTAGGAACTTTTGCTGGGGAATTACTGCAGTCATTTGGAGCTGAGAAGATGCTCTGGCTTTTTGAGTTTCCAGAATTCTTGCACTAGTTCTTTCTAATCAGTGAGGGCTGGTATTCCTTCAATGTTTTAAAGTTGCTATCCCTTCAATGGGATTTTTGCTTTTATATTCTTTGATGCCTTTTAGGGTTTGTGGTATAGATGGATTCAGCAAACTGGTTTCAATTCCAGAAAATTTTAGGGGACCAGGACTCAGCTCACTACTCCTGGGCTGTGTGCTCTAACTTGAGGTGGGGGTGGGGTGCTAGTACTTGGCATCCATCTTTTTTCTCTGGCCCCTTGACTTTAGGAATACGCTGTGCTGAGGGGGCTCATGGTGTTCCTGGTACACTGGCCACAGCACTCCAGTAGGTTGTGCCAACCAAAATTTTTTTTGAGGCAGTGGCAATGGGATCTTTGCTTGCTTCCTTGTGCCAACAGCTGCAGCAACATGAACAGCTGTGGTGGGGTACTAGCAAGGGTGGGGCTGCAGTCTTCCTGTGCATACTCACACCAGTGACAGTGGTGTGGAAGGGACTGGGCACTGGCTGGGCTAGGGTTGCCAGTGTCCGTGCTTGCACTCATGCCTGCACTGGCAGCAGCAGTGGCAGGGTGTTGGCAGGCATGGGGCTTCCACCCTCTGTGCATGTGTTCATACCAGCAGCAGTGGAAGCCCCATGGAGTACCTGGTTGCCAACATCTGTGCACAGCTTTACACTGGTGGCAGTGGCAGTGTGGCATGTGGCGAGGATGCAAGTATCTGTGCATGTTGGTTCCAGCAATGGCATTGTGACTGGGTGCCCATGCATCAACATGGTGCTCACACACATGCTAGCAGGGGAGTGGAGGCAAGGCCCACCTGCACATGCGCCATCAAAGCTTTGGAGGGGTGGCCATGGGCAAGTTCGTGCCTGCACTGTGAGGGAGACTGTATTGGGGTAAGTTTGCAGGTAAACTGATGTGTGTCAGTGGGGATCACTCTCCTGGTGCTCTTAGACAGTAAGGTGTGGTCTCTGCCAATGAAGCTTCTGTGAAGAAGTCCCCCAGGAAGCACCATCACTGGGCATCCAAGGCTGAACTGCAAGCAGGCATGACCAGGCTGGGGCCCTGAGAGAAGCCAACAGACAAGGAGGTGCTCAAATTAGAAAGACTCATTCTCACAGTTAAGACCACCCTGCTCTGTCCAGTTCCAACAGTGACTCCAAGGCAAAAGTCTCCTATAGGAATAATCTAAGCCTTGAGGTTTGGGTATCCCTGGCTATACCCCAAAACAGATGTTCCCACACCAAGTCCTGTGGGCTCTGCTGAGGGTGGAGTCCTGCCCTTACCATCTTTCTAAACATCTCTCCCTGCCAGCTCAAGTGTCCATGGAGGTCATGGTGTCTCCTGCTGCCAAGATTTCCAAAGTCCATGTCAGAAATGGGCCTTCCTCATCTGTTCAACTCACACATTTTCCAGGAGTCTCTTGGGTCCAGGAACTTGTCTCAGTGCTTGTAGCCCCATGCAGGGTTCCCGGCTTCCTCCCTAATCAGCCTAACATCTGTGTCCTCCCTGTGTCTACTCTTGATTCCTCCCCTTCAAAGATCTGCTTGAAGTGTGCTAGTCTTCCCAATGTCCCGGTCTCTCAGTGGCAGATATTACTAGTGACTGCATCTAGTGAGCCATTTTATCTTCTGGTTTTGATTTCAGGTAAATGCTGGCATCATAGAACAAATTAGGAAGAATTTTTTTCTTATCAAGTTTTTGGACTATTTGAGAAGAAATATTGTTAATTCTTTCTTTGTTGGGATAGTTTTCATTACTGATTTAATGTTGGTACTCATTATTAGTCTGTTCACATTTTCTAATTCTTCTTGGTTCAATATCGGTGGGTTATATGTGTCCAGCAACTTATCCATTTCCTCCCAGTTTTCTAATTTGTGGCCATATAATTGTTCATAATAGTTTCTAATAAACCTTTGTCTTTTTATGGTATCAGCTGTAATGTCTTCTTTCTCATTCGTAATATTGTTTGTGTCTTCTCTCTTTATTTCCTAATTAGCCTCTCTTACTGTTTGTTGACTTTGCTTATCTTTTTAAGAAGCAATATTTTATTAAGAGCGAAATGCACTTTCACAGAACTGGCTATACACCACTAAGAGTTTGGTTATAGTTTTTAAATAGTTGAATTTTTCATTAAAACCAAAAACTCCTCTATAAGAAAGATAGATCAAAATATTTTTACCAAAATGTGTGTACAAACATGTATATATGTCATATATATATAACATATATATTATGTATGTGGGTGTGTGCATATGCATATATGCATATACACACATATTTCTTTAAATTCATCCAATCTAAAATGTATCTAATTTACTGGTATTATGTCAAAATTTCCTGATATATCATTGTTGAACACATAAAAGTTTTCTTGGTTTTGGTTTAGTTTTATTCTATTTCTTAATTTATAAATAATTTTTCATTGTGGATATGTCATCTGTTGTATTTAGAACATATCCAACACCTCTCAGTTGTGTTAACTGAGGCATAATTTCCTTTGCTAAAAATTGCAGGACAATTTGGCCTCCAAATCACAGTAGCTGCATTTTGTCAGTGGACCTTACATGGAAACTTTTGCTGCTTTAGATGGAAGACTTATGTTAAGTTCCCATGAATATGATGTAATTGAGTTTCCACCAAGGTAGTTGCTAGAAAATAAATTAAAACTGAGGCGATCACATACTTAAATTTATAGTGTGTTTATTAATTTAAAATAGTTCACATTAATTAATGGCTGAGTTTTTACAAATACTTTGAAATGTTTATTTTAAGAATGTAGTGTTTCAGGTCTATTTTAAAGGCACAAGCCATTTTGAGCATGCTCATGAATCAGGTTGACAAAATATAAGTATGATTGTTAAGTCATCTAATTTCAAATTTTCCTAATTTTGGTAAACAGCTAAACTGAAAGTGATGTAAAAACTGTCCAAAGTAATGTCTAAATCACCAGATGAACTTTAGTAAAAGAAAGAAGAGTGCTTCAATTTATAGAAGCCTTCACAAATCTGAGACCAGATTTCTCAATAATCCCTTATTAAATTTTATAAACATGTATAGTTTGGGAAGAAATAACATGTTCATATAGGGATACACAGTATTTTTTGCAAATCTGCTCCCCAACTAAATGACAAAATCTATAGCATTTTGAGGTTTATGCTTGTGTTCTGCTAGGTGCATATTTGTGTGTGTGTATATATGCATGTGTATGTCTGTTATGCATGCATGTATGTGTGTATACATAAACTTTTAATATTTATGAAAATATAAATAACTCAAAATAATATAAACCTCAAAATAAAGTTCATGTTTGCACTAAATGCTCTTGGTTAGAGATTTCAAAACTAGCTTGTATGCACCTCATTATGCACAATTAGAGTATCAACTCAGCCACCTAATAAATATTTCATAGCTTTAAGAACTAAAATTCAGTAAAACAATACTAATCATGGAAAGATACCTACTTTTTACATTAACATCAGACTAGAAGTACTTACAGATACTAGTACAGATACCATCAGGGTTGGAATCTTTATTTCCATTAAGAATATACCTTCAAAACAAAATGAAACTAATTGACAATTCAAAGCTTTAAGAGGAAAAAAGTGGGGCCATGAAATCCGAAATATTCTCTCTCTCTTTTCCATTTCTAGTTACCTTCACCAACACCAACTCTGACTCTCCCATCCACAGGCCATGAAGACATAGTTCTCTCTCTCTCTTTCTCTCTGTATATCTCTCTAAGTATCTACATCTATACATTAACATACAGATATAAATCATCTCTTGATATTATATTTCTACATTACCCTATCTTTAAGATAATACTATTAATGTATCAAAATGTGTGAACAAGTGGTTGAATAAATTATATTTAAAATTTGCAATGTTCCTCATTTTGCTTGCTTTGAGAATAGGGTAATAAGCTTTTGGTTTTCTTCAAGCTGTTCAGGAAGAGGTATGTATTTGTAATAACAAATTTTGCCTTCTCAACCTCTATCCTCTATAAAGATGAGTCATTAAAATGCCTCATAGTCAATAAGGATTGGAGTGGGAGGGATAAGGGCAAAAAACTGTGATTGAAGAGATATATCATAATATTTGGGATAAAGAACTAAATATGCACGGTATTATGATTCACTTTATTTTTTCTGTCCATAATAGATTTTATATTTGCATACACTTTAATTTGAGGAATAAATTGAAAATGGAATAAAATATTGAAATATATTGATCAAATATATATTGCATAATTTACCTAAATACTTGTTCTTTTATGCCAAATCAAAGCAAAATACAGAGCTATCATGATAATAGGTTATCTTATATTTTATTGATAATTTAAGGCAAACACTCAGGATTTTCTGCTTTTTAGTGATACCAATAGTCCTTGAACTAATAAGGAAATGTACTCTTTTGTCAGTGTGCTCAGGGTTATGATTCATAGTACAGGTTATACCATATACTCCGCTTTTATATTAGCTTGTATATTAGCTATACCATATACTCTTCTTTATATTAACTGCTATTTCAAATCTATTTCACTATTGGTTTTATGTCCCAGAACAGCTCCTGCAGTTGTTCTGCAGGAAGTAAGAAGGAAATATATTTTTAAACCTCCTTTGACCACCAGGAAAAGTAGAAAGAAAGCAATTTTACGGAAAAAAAAAAGAATTTCTTCATTTACTTATTTCTTAAATACATATAAAAAAATTGAAGAGAGTATGTGCCCAATGAAGGCAGGTGATTTTGTTTTTCATTATCACATAGGAAAACTAAGGCTTCCTTCTGTTTCTAGTCTACGAACCAGGAGAGTCTCTGTAAATGTAGCCAGGAAGTCCTAACTTAAAATTATCCCATCCTTCTAAGGAATAATTTTAAGTCAGGACTTTAAAAAGATTTCTGGTTACTTGAAGTTCAACAAAAACTACAACATAAACAATAAAAAGTTACCAATTATTAAGTATAATGTACAATAAAATATATTTTATGAATCTTGTGTTAACTATTTTATTTTATTTTATTATTTTATTTTATTTGAGATGGAGTCTTGCCACGTCGTCCAGGCTGGAGTGCAGTGGCGTGATCTCAGCTCACTGCTACCTCTGCCTCCTGGGTTCAAGCAATTCTCCTGCCTCAGCCTCTGGAGTAGCTAGGATTACAGGCACCCGCCACCACACCAGGGTAATTTTTGTACTTTTAGTAGAGACAGGGTTTTGCCATGTTGGCCAGGCTGGTCTCGAACTCCTGACCTCAGATGATCTGCCCTCCTCAGCCTCCCAAAGTGTTGGGATTACAGGCGTGAACCACCATGCCCGGCCGTTTTTGTTTTTGTTTTTGTTTTTGTTTTTTTTTAAAGCTTCAACCAAAAGGTTGAGTTTGGTCCTGGGTAACTTTATTTGTTTGATTACATTCCAGACAATGTTTATACATGCTATCTTGATAAGAAATTGAATGTTGAATGCACAACAAGTTAGCACCATGCATGAACTTGACTCAGGTAGACTTCTATAACATATTCGCTTAAAAGCTGATCTAAATTCTATTTTAGTTGAGGAGAATGTCACAAATTTGAATGGTAAAATAGGACAAAGTATTATCAAAAATGAGTATGGTATGTGATATCAAGCTTCCTAAACTCAGAAATTATTATTTCTAAGGTAATTTCCTGTGTCCTTATTTTGACTGACTGGCATAACACATTACCACAAAATGGGTGGCAGGATATGAATTTTGGGGGGACACTATTCAACTGATCATTGTCTACCCTGTTTCCCCAAAATTCATGCAATTCCCCATGAAAAATGCATTCATCCCACTCCAAAATTTCCAAAGTCTTCACTATGTCCCAAATGTTATCTAAATATTATTAACTCAAAAAGTTCAAACTATATTATCTAATTCAGGTATGAGTAAAACTCTATGTATGATCTATTCGCAGAGTTTCTTCTGGTATGACATTCTGTAGAACCTTGTTAGTTGTGGATGTACGTCAAGGAGCTCCATGCCATTAGTCATAAATAAGGATTCTTCCCAGATCTTTCCTGTACAACTGCATATCCATTTCTGGATTCTGCTGGGATGATGTAGTGAATCCATAAATTGCATGCCTAAAACCTCCAGTAAAAGTTTGTCCAGCCACACCACGGCATTCTCTTTAGAGCATGCTTTAACATCTTTTGAGATAACATATAGGCTGAGAATTTTCCAAATCATTATGTTCTGATTCTTTTTTGCTTAACAGTTTCTTCAATTTGTCTTTCTCACATTTTGCTCTAAGTAGCCAGAAGAAACCAGGCTACACATTCAACAGTTGGCTTGAAACTATCATCAGTTAAATATCTAAGTCCTTTGCTTACAAGTTCTTCTTTTCACAAAGTAGTAATGCACAATTTAGCCAAGGTTTTTTTTCTTTTGACCCTTTATAACACAGTTCTCAGAAATTATTCCTTCTCAGAAATTTCCCATGTCCTTCTGTAAATGCCACAACAAATCTACCATAAACTGGGTGGCTGGACACGAATTTTGGAGTGACACTATTCAACCCATTATTGTTATTAAGTACTCTTTTTAATAACAGTACTTAATAACTGTTTTGCCTTTCCTTCTGAAGCCTTAACAGAAGTACCTACAATGTCCATATTTTCACCAAGAGTCTCTTCCAGGGAAAGTAGACTTTTTTTTTTTTTAATCATGAGCTGCTATTTTGCATCTTCTGCCCATTACTTGATTTCAAAAGAACTTTCACATTTCAGTTTCAAAAATCCAATACAAAAACAATCCACTTTCAAGTACCAAAATCTATGTTCATTTTCTAGGGCTTCCATAACAGTGTATACCAAACTGAGAAGTTCAAAACAAGGGAAATTCATTCTCTCATACTTGTCATACTCTCATACTTCTGTAGACTCAAAGTCTGAAATATCACTGTTATCAAGACAATGCTCCCTCTGCAGACTGTAGGGAAATATCTTTTCTTGCCTCTTATAACTTCTGGTGGCCCCAGGCATTCTTTGGCACATAGTAGTGTAACTTCAATCTCTGTCTGCCTTCATCATAGCATGTCTTTCTTCTCTGTTTCCCTGTCCTCTTCTCTTTTTGCAAATTTATCAGTCATTATCTTTAGGGTGCACCATAAATCTAGTATAATTATCACCTCGAGATCCTTAACTAATTACATCTGCAAAAACCCTACTTCCAAACAAGATTGCAATCTGTGATTCCAGGGGCGAACATGATTTTGTGGTTTGGGAGGCACTAATGCAACTAATCAACTCATTATACCTTATTTCCGTTAAGTCAGCAATAGCAAATCAAGATAAGGGCTATTGGATTAAGCATTAAAATGCGGCCTTCCAGTGTTTTGTTTTGTGTTGTTTTGTTTTCTATTTTAATGAAACATATATTACTACATTCACAATACCAGCACGAAATAGAGAACTGACAAGTATTTATAGAGGAACTGGCTGGGAAGGCTCTACAAAGTAATAACTTATTTGTGTCTGCTTTGTTCTTAACAGAGTTGAGTTATTTTGAAGTATTATGAAACTCGTAAATATAAGGCAGAGTCAAGTGTAAGTAAACATTTCTATTCCAGGTCAACATCCTTATTTTCCTGTGAGATATGAATCTTTATCTCTAGCCCTTCTTAAAGACTTTCACTTCAAATTATTATTACAAAGTTTGAAAATGTTTTTATTGAGGTTGGAAAAATGGAGGTTTATTTAAAATCAGAAGTCACATTTACATTTTTTAATCATAAAATAAGTCTTTACCACTTGCTGGTAATTAAAATGGACACCACACACAGACACACACACACACACACACACACACACACACACACTTTCTTCTACATTCTACAAGGATGATTGCCAAATAACCATGGGACTCTTTAAATGAATTCCGAATAAGTAGATTACAAAAGTAGATCTTATTTTATAAAGTTGGAAAGGATGCTAGAAATTTTTTACTTCAACTTTACCGCTTACCATTGAAGAAAGTGAAAACAAAAGTTATTGACTTTCCCAGAATCATGTAGCTAATTAGTGACAAGACTGGAGTTGCAAATACTTGGTGTTTCAAAAAAATAAAAACTAAGTCCACTGATTTTTCTCACTTGCAGACTAAGTCTTTTGTGTGTTAGTGATGGTTACCAATGGTATTTAAAAAAAAAAAAAACCTAAGTATTTTAGATTCCTCTGCTTCTCTGTGATGTTTATGCTGAGCCCCAGGAAACATATACTGATCTGCCTTTCTCCCTTAAAGTCTCATTTTGCACCACAGAGAAGAGCCTGAACAGTATGAGTTTGTGCTGAGGTTCAGACAGTTTAACCAAACCCATTGATTTAAAAGATATGTGGGCTGGAATAATCAACTTATTTATTTGCCAAGGAAAGCCAAATCATTATTTCTAAGACCAATATTATGAGACTGTCTATACTACAAAAGCGGCTGTGGGAATAATAATGTCTGTATGAAAATACTGTTTTAAGGATCCAATAATCCAATATACATGAAAATTGCTTAACACATAGTAGAAAATCAATGAATCATGATATCTTCTTTATATTTTCAGCATATTTTAGATACAAAACGATGAAATGTCACAGACACTGAGTCAAAATGATATCAGGATAAAAAGAAATTAAGAGATCATAAACTATTGAGAGTACTTAGGCAAAGGAGAAATTCAATACCTATAGCACTGACCCTCTCAAATTTATCCTATTTGCTGTACTAGATGCATAAGCAACTTGATAGTCATTGAATTTTAGAGCTGGAAAGGAGCTCTGGATGTACTTAATCTGAATCAAGATTTTTCAACCTCAGCACTATTGACATTTTGATCCAGATAATTTCTGCTGGGGTATCTGCTGTGCACTATATATTGTTTAGCATCATCCCTACTACTCTGTATGTTAGTAGCACTCCCTGTAGTACTCACTATAATACTATAGTGAGTAACATATAGTACTCACTGTATGTCAGTAGCACTCCCTCTCCTGAAGTTATGATAACCAAAACACATTGTCAAATATCTCACTGGGGGCAAAACCACCCCCAGTTGAACACCACTGGTCCGACCTGATCATGTTATTTATGAGAATGAAAAACATCAAGTGATCTTCCTAGTGTCCTATAATAGGCTATCTAGTGCTGTGAGGTTAAAATATATATATATATATATATATATATATCATATATATATATCATATATATGATATCTATATATATGATATCATATATATATATAAATGAACTAGGGAATCATGCGTGTGAACTTAGTTTTGGTAGTTCTTCTGCCTTTTATTTTGTGTGTGACTTGGAATAAGTCACTTATCTTCTATGAGTCTCAGTCTCCTTCCTAAAATAGGAAAAAAAAATTCCTTCACCTGAATTAATCATTGGATTCTGGGAGGCTAAAATAGGATAGCATTGTTAAAGATTTGGAGGCAACCCACCTCCATAGACATATGTATGTGTGCACAGATATACTTGTGTATTATTGTCATTGCTATTCTTAGGGAAGAGCCAGGTTTTAAACCCAGTTCCCTTCATACTTAATTTAGTCCACTGACCTACATTCAGAGGGGCCTGTAAAGTAGTATTGCCAAAATATGTATATAAGAGTAACCTAGAGTACTTGCTAAAATAAAAATCCCCAAGACCATTCCCAGTTAATTTAATTTAAAAGTCTGAAATGAACTCCGGAGTTGGCATGGTTAATAGACAAGCCTGATTTTTCTGTTCCCTCTTATTTTGGAATCACTGTGGTGTTGGCTGTTTTCAGATGTTCTCAAAATAAGTTCTGATTTTCAAGTGTTATACTTTCTGCATTCAATATTATATAAGCGTCAATTATTTGCCAAAAGTCTTATTTGCATGATTTTTATTGCCACTTCCCTACTAAATTTCTGCAATGAGTCTTTCTCTCATTAAGTATAAAATGCAAGCACTCTGTCGTGGTAGAATGTCTTTATATGATCCTGCCCCTTTTCTACTGATCAACATTGTCTACTGTATTTTTCTTTTCTTCATCCTCCTATCCCTCCATTCCTGACTTTCATTCTGCCCTTCGTAATTCACTCTTCCTGGAATCCCAGCCCTAGTACTTACACTTGAGGCTCCTACAATAGTACATGTTCTGTAACTCTCAAACACATGTGATTCTCACAAATGCCATGCTTCACAAATTGTTTGCCCCAGATCGAGCACAATATAAACACCTATCTACCTTTCTAATCTCATATGAAGCACTAATCTCATATGAAGTCATATCTCAAAAAGTTTACAAAATACCAAATGAGAAGACTATAATCATAGAGAAACATGAAATCGTATCTATTGAGTGAGTGCTTCACCATCCCGGTGGTATGTATACAATACTGCATACATGTAGTATAGTACAAACGGAAGCACAGAAATAGGACAGATCTCTTCGGTTCATTTATATTCCCATTTCTGTTCCCAACTAAGGCCAAATAACTTCTTTTTTATGGTGATTGTATTATCTCATCAATACATGGATAGCTGCTATCTGAAGCTATCAATTTGAATTCATACCAAATAAATTAACTTTATTTGGTATAAATTAACTGCCACTGTAATTTTTTTAAAATACAAATATCAGGACAATCTCAGCCACAAGAATGGTCTTTTTAAAAAAAGAGGTTTTTTTTCATACTTCTCCTACCACTAGCTTTTACTTTATATGTTGATAAACTTCCAAACTTACCTCTTCTAGATGAATATAACCACACCAGAACTAATCTTCAGCTTTCTCCTAAGAGACACTATAGAATTCTCCAATTTTCCTCTTAGGCCCATGCAACTTCTAATCAACAAGATTTACTTACCACCTAGGATGTGTTGGGCAATGAGTGAATATGAAACTAATGAAAGAAACAGCTTCTGAACAATTAGAGTATATGTCTATGCACATACTCTCCACATGAAATAAACTTACCTACTGACTGATATGGTTACCCTATTTTGATATGTTTCCAATTCATCTGTGAGGTTCATTTTTCTGGTCTTTACTCATTTTGTTCCCATAACATTAATCACCAGTATCCAGCACAATCATAACACCTTCTCCTTATCTCATCTATCAAATAACTGTTATTGAATGGTACAGAAATAAATGTGTGTTAATATTTACACAACATAGACAAATGAGAAACACATTAATTTATTTAAATAGTCTACATTATATTTCTATTTTATATATTCACCTAGCAGACTTTTCCTCCTCTTAATGGGCAATATAATATGTTAAAGATGAATCGTTCATAGAATAAATTAATCATTTATCAGAGAGTCACACATGACTCTTTTTAAGTCTTCACAAGAAAAATAAATATCTCAAAAATCAAAAGTAGGAAACATAGTACACACTTTGTTGCTATTTGATAATCAAAAAATAATCATTTTATTATATTTAATATAGTTATTGAGAAGCAACAAAGGGGCATTTGCATTTACGCAAAGTGCTGCTTAGAATTTCCTTTTTATTGTTATCAAAGATGCTGGTCAATACTTTATAGCTTTTCTGAGCTCATGCATTCTGATCAAACTTTAGAATATAAAAGATTAAACTTCTCAGCTAATTACATGCCTGGAGGCACATTAACAATGCAAGTGTCAATGCTCTGTTAAAAATTCATTTTGCATTTTTAACACAGTCCTGATAGCAAAACTTTGAAGGCAACAAAGTGGAAAGAGTTATATTCTTATTTTAAAAGGTAGCCTAGAAACCTTGAAAAATTTGAACTTTATTATTTTATATTATGGGAAATTTCAGAGGTACTATGGAATCAAAGTGAATTTTTTCATGCTAAAAAAAATTAATGGGTCATTGATTTTAGTGAGAAGAAACTTAAGAATATTTTGGCCCCAACTTTTTATTTAACTAGTGAGATTACTAAACTACAGAAAGATTTTGAGACTTATACAAAGACAATTAAAGAGAGATAGGTCTAGTACTCAGAACTATTAACTTTGAAACCAGAGAGCTTTCGACAGTATTGTTGCCTTATAAGAGTCAGAGATGTTTGTTTCAGTATGTTTGAAATATGAGCTGCCTGTTACCAGCTGAATTGAGTCCCTTTCAAAATTCACATATTGAAGCTCTATCCGCATGTACTTTAGAATGTGTCTGTGTTTGGAGATAGAACTTTTAAAGAAAGGATTAAGTTAAAATGAGGCCACTGGGGGTAGACCCAATCCAATCTCATTGGCATCCTTATAGAAAGAGAAAATTTGGATACCCAAAGAGACACCAAGGATGCCTGCACTCAGAGGAAAGACAAACTGACGAGGGGCACTTACAATTCAAGGACAGTCCTCAGAAGAAATAAAAAACCACCAATACTTCAAATTCAGACTTCCAGCTTGCATGAGAAAATAAATATCTGTTGTTTAAGCCACCCAGTCTATGATACTTTGTTATGGAAGTCCCAGGAATCTAATACACTGCCTAAATTGTCAAAAATATAATGTATATTTTAAAATAGAATTATGGATAATATCTTTTTTAAGTTTAACTCTCCACAGAACTCTGAATTTGTATGAAAACACTGAAACTGATATGAAAAGATTTTATGTTTTAGAGAAAGGAGTGTAATTTGCACTTTACCTGAAAGAAGACTTTACAAGAAAACAACTAACAAAATAAAACTTAATTTGGTGTATGGGGCAGATCAGATAAAATTTGTAAATTACAAATAGAATTGTATATGTATCATAATTGACTAGATGACAAAAGTAGAAGTTATCATAGAGATAAAATAATTTAATAAATTCTATTTTATTTTTGTTGTTTCTGAAAAATATTAAAAAATTGTCATTTATCCAACTTTAAGATAGAACCAACATAGTTCTATTTTCCATATTGACATATTATGAACACAATATTGAGTTTCAGATTTTCTCAAATACATTTTTTTAAAGAATGACAATTTTAGTTTTATAAAATTATGAAGGGAGCTAATTTAGTGCAAAGAAATTTGGGCTTAAAGTCAAAAATCTAAAATATTATTAGTCTTTAATTATCAGTATGATTATGGTCAAATAGCTTACTTTCTCTCTGCCTCAATTGCTATGTATCTAAAATAAATAAATATTCTAAATAATCTCAATATTTATTTTTTGTCCTAAAATTATTTCATGCTGAACATAATTGCTATATTTGTAAAGTTGATATTTGTGACTGGTTAAACATAAAATTACCCATTAGTCCACCTTGAGAAAGACTCTTAAGATAAATAAGTAAACAACTTTAAGTTCAATACTCTGTAATATTCTTACAAATCAGAAAAAAAAATTGAGAAATTGACAGATTTTAATTCCTTGAGACTTTGGCACCAAAAATTCTTTCAAGGCATTTCACAGGTTTTGCTGGCTTCTCCCATCATAAGGGCAAAGTTAAAGTCCACCTCAACACTGTCTAGTAAGACTACTATTCACTAAACTGAGAGATGTATTTTGTACTTTTTTTTCCCCACACAGGTTCTTACAGATGTGACAGGGCAAGTGAGGGCAGACTTACAAACAACTGCTGTAGAAAATCACTGGGGGACAAAAAACAATGTAAATCTTTGCTTAAGCAGTTTCTTTTTGTGCACTTAGCGTCCCTAGCTAATTTTTTTTTTTGTCAACATACTCTTAGTTATAAATAGGTGTTGAGATGGCACTGAGAAAATGGAAAGAGAAAATAACTGCTTCTAAGAGCACATAATTTGAAATGACAAGACCTTTGGCCTAAGAGGTAGGTGCAACATCTTGACTTTGCAAGTAATTTAATAACTATGAGCCCCTTAATCAATATAAGCTTCAATTTAATATGTGTAAAGTAAGTAGTTCATTAAATTATTCAATAAACACTGTTGAGGACACAGAGGTGCCACACACTTGGGCTCGTTTCTTAAGATTAGAAAAATGAAAGAAACCTATAATTCAGTAAGGGAGAGTTAGAAGTATAATGACAATCACAACCTTTGGTGACAAGTATTGCAATAGAAATATGCATGACAGGATGTGGAAGGAAGTGAAGAAGTAGCTCATTCAGCCTGGGAGGAGCACCATTTGCAAATTTTCAATGTCATTGCCTTTTGTGCTGAGTCTAAAAGTATATGCATATTGTATCCGAAAGCAGGATCAAGAGAAAGCAGATCAGTGTGTACAAAAGCATTGCACAGAAGAATAGCTGCCAGGGAAGATTGAGTCTGATGGTAGGGTTAATATTTGTGTTCTCACAAGTCTCTTACAGATCTACATGCTATGTAAAACACTACCAAACATGTATTTAAAACAAGCAACAACAACAACATAAAGACAACCAGATGTATTTAGTCCAATAATTACTGACATAAAAGAAAAGAGTGGAGGTATTGGAAAAGGAACCATTTTCCAGCATGGGCTTTTTGCAGGGGGAATACCTGGAATTTACCAATTCTTATTTCATGTTCTCTTTATCTCCAACCACTATAAAATTTGTTTTAACTATTCTGTTTAGATAAATTTAAAATAAATACCAGATAGTGCAGAACTCTTCCAGTTCTCTCTAATGTCCCTACCAAGCCCCTCCATGCCCTGTGCTATGGAAGCATTGATGCTTCAATTTTCCACACATTAACAGCAGATGTGAGCAGTTCATGCTCTGGATGACAGCTCAAAGACAAAGGAATTCTCTAGTGCTATATAGTGTCGTATTTTGGTGGTGAAGTGAGTGAAGAATGCAATTTAAGTTCACTACCATTCACATTTAGGAGTCGATGAATGCAGTATGAGGGAACAAGCACCTGCAAAGGAAATAGAAATATCATCACAGTGTGTGCTGGAAATGAAACCAGTGGTTCTTCAGCCCCATTAGCTTTTGCCACCACCTCATAACTTTCCAGGAAAGATTCCAAGCTTAGAGAATGCACCTACCTTTACTAGTGTACAGTATTCATTGTAAAAAATGAGAAGTATTACTGGACAGTGTTTCTAGCTGAAGAGATGCACATTTTAACAAGCCGGGAGGATTGAGCAGATAGATTGAAGATAATTTTCATGTTTGTATTGCTTCATAAGGTTACCCAAACAAATAAAAAAAAATTATCAGTGGCAAACCTAATGGATATGAGAGAAGAGTACCCTTTCTTTCTTTGTTGTATGAGTGTGTGGTGTGGGGTGGGGAGAAGGCGAAACAGTGGGTGAAGTGGATAATTTTTTAATTATTAGCTAATCATCTTTCTCTCCAACTTGTATGTCCAGGTCATTTTGTAAAGCTCCCTCTGAAATCTTAATCCTAAGGTAGGCTTTCAATTCAGATTGCTCTGAGAATACTCATGATTGATTATGGCAATAAGCATTTCAAGCAATTTCCATGTAGTGCTGTTATTTTTCCTTTGTATCCTGGGAAACTTTAAAAATTGTATTCTCAATTTAATTTACATATTTGATCACTTTTAGCTATCTAGTGATCATCTAGTAAATATATAATTTTGATATCACTAGTAAATTTAAGACAATTTCTCCTTAAAATTCAGTGTGTCACTAATTCAGGACGATAATTTCATGTACAATAATTATCTTAAGCACAGAAAAATATATTTGATGGATTTAATGTAGGAACTATACAAGGGATGCACTGTGAATATAGCAAATGTGTTTCCTTGAGCCTAGAATTATTTATTTATTCTGAGGTTTATATTATTTGCTTCTGCCTCCTTCGACAAAACAATAATGCATCATAGTGAGCTTTAGACATCTATTGGAACACGGCTTTTTTTTTTTTTTTTTCAAATATTAACTCCTTTGCTTTACAAGAAGTTACTCTGTATGTGCACTTGAGGATAACACTGACATTTTAAATACCATCACCTCCTATTTAATTCATTACTACTCCTTGTCTTTCTCTAATTGCTATTTTTTTTAAAGCTTTCTACCCAAATTTGAAACTATGTCTTTTTATTTAAGAAATCGTCTAAAGCAGTGATCCGCATTAACTTTTCAGCAGGTTCGTAACTTCCAGCTTTTAAATTTCTTGTGTTTCTGCTACTTGGAAAACCTCAGAGTGAAAATTTTGGCAAGAAATAATTTTCAATACAGGCATCAACTCCTTAATTTGCAAGAGATCAGAATCACATTTTTCACATATAACTTCCAGGGACATAATTCAACTAACATTTACATTACCTAGTACACTATTATTTGTTTGTAACAAAAAACACCCTACAATGAAGTGGTACAAATACAAAAGAATTGTGTCAGTCTCTTATATAACAGCCCATGGTGGCAGTTGGCCAAGGTATACAGTCAATATGGCTAGTCACAACAGAAACTCTGATTCCTTTCATCTTGCTTATCTCCCATTTCTCAGGTGTGTAAGTGACTGTGTTCCTACCATCAAGTTCACATTTCAACCTGTACCAAAGAGGGAGGAGAGGAAGTAGAAAGCAAACAATTACCTTATAAATATCTGCCCTTGGAGTACATACATCACTGCCATTTTAATTTTGTCTCCTGTAATTAATAGCATGCCCAAACACAACGAAAAATAGTTTCAGAAATACAGTCTCTAACATCTAACATTCAGTTGCTAGACCCCTTAGCAACTAAAGGAAAGCATGGGTAGTTGTGAAAAATTATCAGCCTCTGTTATAGCTCATAATTGCATGTGGCCTTGTGATTACAAGTTTTTTAAAGAAGTTGCTAGAAACACGGAAATCAACTATATTTTTAAGCAAGGACACTAGATTATGATTAGTTTTTCATGGTGGCAGTTTTCAACTTGTCAATGTTTGCTAAATTAAAATGTTACCACATTCCAAACAAGTAAAAATAACTCAGAAATAAAGTTTAATTCCTATAGATTACATTGCTAAAATGTGATTGGGCAATTCATGAAACTATCAGTTAAAATATTTGCATGATCTTCAATAATAAGATGAATAAACTCTGGAGACCTAATAATATGTTTTGGCTCTGTGCTCCCATCCAAATCTCATCTCAAATTGTAATCTCCACATGTTGAGGAAGGAACCTAATGGAGGGTGATTGGATCTTGGATGTGTTTTTCCTCATGCTGTTCTCATGAGACTGAGGGAGTTCTCATGAGATCTGATGGGTTAAAATTGGCAGTTTCCTCATGCTCTCTCTTTCTCCTGCCACCATGTAAGACATGCCTTGCTTCCCTTCACCTTCCACCATGTTTGTAAATTTCCTGTGGCCTCCCCAGCCATGCAGAACTTTAAGTCAACTAAATCTCCTTTCTTCATAAATTACCCAAACTCAGGTAGTATCTTTATAGCAGCGTGAGAATGAACTAATACAGGAAATTGGTACTGGGAGTGGGACACTGCTATAGCGATAACCTGAAAATGTGGAAAAAACTTTGGAACTGGGTAGCAGGCAGAGATTGCAACAGTTTGGAGGGCTCTGAAGAAGACAGGAAGATGAATGAATTTTGAAACTTCCTAGAGACTTTTTGAATGATTTTGACCAGAAATGCTGATAGCAGTGTGGACAATGAAGTCCAGACTGAGGTGGTCTCAGATAAAGATGAGGATCTTAGTGGGAAGTGCAATAAGTGACTCTTGCTATGCTTTAGCAAAGAGACTAGCAGCATTTTGCCCCATCCTGAAAATATGTGGAACTTTGAATGTGAGAGAGATTATTTAGGGTATCTGGCAGAAGAAATTTCTAAGCAGCATAGTATTCAAGATGTGACCTGGCTTTTTCCAAAAGCATCCAGTCATATGCATTCACAAAGAGAGGATTGGAATTTGGAATTTATGTTTAAAAGGGAAGAAGAGAATCAAAGTTTGGAAAATTTGCAGCCTGACCAGGTGGTAGAAAAGAGAAGCCCATTTTCTGGAGAGGAATTCAGGCTGGCTGCAGAAATTTGCATAAATAACAAGAAGCTGAATGTTAATCACCAAGACAATGGGGAAAATGTCTTCAGGGAATTTCTGAGATCTTCAAGGCAGCCTCTTTCAGCACAGGCTTGGAAGCTAAGAAGAGATAAATGGTTTTGTGGGCTGATCTCAAGGCTCCACTGTTCTGTGCAGCCTCTGGACATGGTGCCCTGCCATCCCAGCCACTCCAGCTTCAGCTGTAACTAAAAGAGGTCAAGGTATAGTTTAGGCTGTTGCTTCAGAGGGTCTAAGCCCTAAGCCTTAGTGGTTTCCATGTGGTGTTGGGCCTATGGGTACACAGAAGCCAAGAATTGAGCTTTGGGGACATCTGCCTAGATTTCAGATGATGTATTGAAATGCCTGTATGTCCAGGCAGAAGTCTGCTAAAGGGGTGGAGCCCCCTCATGGAGAAACTCTACTAGGACAATGCAGAGGGGAAATGTGGGGTTGGAGTCCCCACATAAAGTCTCCACTGAGCCACTGCCTAGTGGAGCTATGAGAAGAAAGGCACTGTCTTCAGACCCCAGAATGGCAGATAAAGAAGGGTTGCCCATGTGCCTGGAAAGGCAACAGATGCTCAACACCAGCCTGTGAAATAGCCAGGAATAAGGCAGCTGCTTAGCTTCTGGGCCCAGATGCCCTCAGACTTATACTAGATATCTATTATTTGGCACTGTGAATGGATCCTCACTCATATTTTTTCCTCCCTAGTTCATGTCTTCATCACATCTTATCCTACTGTTTTAAAATCTCCTTGATTGTCATAGCAAAGCTCATTATCTTCTCAATGTCTCTTCTACACATTTATCTTCTTTAACAAATCTAATTTTATTCAAATATGCTTAAAATTCCTTGTGATATTTAATGTCACAATAGATAAAGTCAAAAATACTCATACTGGTTCTTCCATGTAATTGCCTTTGTCCACTGACCCAAAACTATCCCACAGCCATACCAAATTCACCATGATATTTACATATGTTCATTGTTTTGTAATGACTGTATTTTTATTATACTTGTTATTTCAGATGTGGGTTAAGAGTTTTGTTTTTAATACTAAAAGATTCTATCAAAGGCTAGTCAAACTTAAAAAAAGAAAGAAAGAAACTCTTAAACAAAAAGCCCTTAAAGAGATTGACTTATTATAATACACATCCTTTCAAATAAAAGGCCATAAACGAATGTCTCCACTTCTGAATTCCATCAGGCATTTAGAGAAGTGCAAATACCAATTTTTCTCAAATTCTTCCAAAAAAATTGAAGCAGAAGAAACATTTCCAGACTCATTTTAAGAGGCTAACATTACCCCAATACAAAAGCCAGACAAGGACAAAACAAGAAAATAAAGTTATAAGACAATATCCCTGATGAATGTGGAAGCAAAAGTTCTCAACAAAATATTAGCAGACTAAATTCAAGAACACATTAAAATCATTATTTACCACGATCAAGTGGAATTTATCCTTGTGATGCAAATCAATAGATGTGATGCACCATATTAACAAAATGAAGGAGAAAATTCCTATAATCTCCACAATTGCAAAAAAGTAATTGAAAAAATGCTTTCAAGAGATTAGGTATAGAGAAAATGTACCTCAACACAATAACGGCCACATATGACAATCCCATAGCTAATATCGTTCTTGATAGTGAAAGGTTGAAAAGTTTTACCCTAAGATCAGGAGCAAGGGAAGGATGTCTACTCTTACCACTTCTTTTCAACATAGTATTAGAAGTCTTCACTGAAGAAATTAGACAAAAAATAAATAAATAAAAGGAATCCAAATTGGAAATAATTAATTGTCTTTATTGGCTTTGACATAGTATTATATATAGAAAACCCTATAGAATGCACCAAAACAAAAACTGTTAGAACTAATAAACAAATTGAGCAAAGTTGCAGAATACAAAATTAAAATTCGAAAATCAATAGCATTTCTACATACTAATAAAATAACCGATAAGAAAATTGAGAAAACAATCCCATTTACAATGACAAAAATACATAAATACTTAGGTGTAAATTTAATGAGGTAAAGGACCTGTGTAGTGAAAACTATAAAACGCTATAAAAGAATTTGAAGAAGAGGTGGAGCAAGACGGCAGAATAGAAGGCTCCATGGATCATCCCATTCACAAGGACACCAAGTTAACAACTGTCTACACAGAAACACTTTCATAGGAACCCAAAGACAGCTGAGCACCCATAGTACCTGGTTTTAATTTTATATTGCTGAAAGAAGCACTTAAAAGGTAGAAAAAACTGTCTTGATTCGCTGCCACCACACCTCTCCTACACCCAGAAGCTGCAGCATGGAACAAAGAGCATCTCTGAGTGTCCCAGGGGAGGGAGAACACAGAAATTGTGAGGCATTGAACTCAGTGCTGTCCTGTTACAGGAGAATGGTAAAACCAGACCAAACTCAGCTGACACCAGCTGAGCATTTAAACCAGCCCTAGCCAGAGGGTAATCACCAATCCCAGCAGCTGGAACTTGAGTTCCCACAAACCTTGCCACCAAGGGATACAGTGCTGTTTTTCAGTATATTTGAAAGCAGTCTAGAGCACAGGGACTGCAATTCTTATGTGAGTCCTATTGCTGAACTAGGCCCAGAGACAGAGGACTCGGGGGCACATGACCTACTGAGACACACCAGCTGGGATGGTTAAGGGAGTGCTGGCATCACCCTTCCTCTAACCCCAGGCTGCATAGCTCATGGCTACAAAAAAGACCCCCAACTTTTTTTTTTTTCTTTTTTTTTTCTTTTGGCTTGAGGACAGGAGAGGGAAGAATGGGAAGAACTTTGTCTGGCTTCTTGGATACCAGCTCAGCCACAACAGGATAGGGCACTGGTCAGAGTCATGAAGCCCATATTTCTGCCCCTAGCTCCCAGATGGCATTTCTAGACATATCCTGGGCCAGAAGGGAACCCTCTGCCTTGATGGAAATGATCCAGTACTGCCAGCATTCATCACCTGCTAACTGAAGAGCCCTTGGGCTCTGAATCACCAGCAGTGATACCCAGTAATACTATGTTGAGGGCCTTGGGTGAGCCTCTGAGACTTGCTGGCTTCAGGTGAGGCTCACCACATTACCAGCTATGGTAGCTATGGGAAAAAATATTCATTCTGTTTGAGAAAAGCAGAGGGAAAAGTAAAGGGGACCTTACACCTTAGGTACCAGCACCAAGTGGGCTCTTGGGGGTCCCTGACTCCAAGACTTGACTCTTGGATAACATTTCGGGACATGCTGTGGACCAGAGGGGAGCTCAATGCCCGCCCTGAAGGGTGAGTTTGAAGCCAGGCAGCATTCACCCCACGCTGACTTAAGAGCCCTTGGGTCATTAGGGAACATGGATGGTAGTCTAGCAGTACTCCTCATGGCCTAGGGTGTTGGTGGCTACGGAGTGAGGCTCCTCTGCCTTTGGAAAGGGGAGGGAAGAGTGGGATGGACTATGTCTTGTGGTTTGACTGCCAGCTCAGCCACAGTACAATAGAACACCAGGTAGATTTCTATGGTTTCTCAAACTGTGCATCTGGACCAACCCAGGGCCTGGGGGACCCCGCTGCCCTGAAGGGAAGGAAACACATCTAGCTGGCTTTGTCACCTGCTTACTACAAAGCCCCAGGGCCTAGAGAAAACCTAGGCAGTAGTCAGGGAGTGGTTACAGCAAGCCTTGAGTGAGATCCAGTGCTGTGCTGACTTCAGGTCTAACCCAGGACAGTCATAGGGCTGGTGGCTACAGAGAAGCTGGCATCACTCTACTCCCAGCTTTGGGTGGTTCAGTACAGACAGAGAAAGACTGTTCATTTAGGAGACAGTAAAGGAAGAGAACAAAAGTCTCTTCCTGGTAATCCAGAAAATCTCCTGGATTATCTCCAAGAACATCAAGGCAGCACCTCTAGGAGTCTACCAGAACCACAGCATTACTGGACCCGGGGTGTCCCCTAAAGCAGATACAGCATAGATCACAACACCCAAGTCTTTTCAAATAGTTGCAAAGCCTTTCCAAGAAGGACAACTACAAAAAAGCCCAGACAGTAAAAAGGCTACAATAAATACCTAACTCTTCAATGTTCACCAAATAAATTAAACAAGGCACCGGGGATTAATCCTGGAGAAACAGAAATATATGACTTTTCAGGCAGAATATTCAAGATAGCTGTGTTGAGGAAATTCAAAGAAAGTTAGGATAACAAAGAGAAGGAATGTAGAATTCTGCCGGATAAATTTAACAAAGAGACTGAAATAATTAAAAGGATTCAAGCAGAAATTCTGGAGCTGAAAACATGCAATTAGCATACTGAAGAATGCATCTGACTCCTTTAATAGCAGAATTGATCAAGCAGAAGAAAGAATTAGTGAGCTTGAAGACAGGCTAATTGAAAATGCAGTCAGAGGAGACAAAAGAAAAAAGAATAAAAAACAATGAAGCACACCTATGGGACTTCAAAAATAGCTTAAAGAGGGCAAATCTAAGAGCTATTGGCCTTAGGAAGACGGCAGATCGGAGACAGCGCTAATGTGCAGCTCCCAACTTGGACAGATAAAACAGCATGTGGAGACTCAACACCGGGATTCTCTGCTGTAAGAGCCACCACAGGAACATACCAAGAAAACCAAAAGAATTCACATCTTCTTTGAAAGAAGCCACAGGCTGCTACAAATTCAGCCAAACAAGCAAAACACTGTGAGTTCCCAAAGTGTGAGAGCACATATTCCCAACGGGAAATCTGAAAATCCTGATCATGGGAGAAGGATTTAACCTTACCTAGAACTGAACAGATTTAGGGAGCCATGCAAAATGTAAAAGTCAAAGCAGTAGTGAGAACTACGTTATAGGCACTCCAATTCTACAGCTGGAGCCCAGGGAAGCCAACCCTGCCTGTATCTCACAGAGGTCCTCATGGAGAGCAGCCAGCAGAATTAGGGAGGGGACACAGGGTGTGAACAGAAAGACTAAAAGATGTTTCCCACTATGGGAAACATTTTTGAGTTTCCTCCAAAAAAAAATCATCTAAAATTTGAGCTACCATATGATCCAGCAATCTCATTGCTGAGTATATACTCAAAACCCAAAAGGAAATCAGTATATCAAAGACATATCTGCACTTTTTATGTTCATTGCAGCACTGTTCACAATAGCTGAGATTTGGAAGCAACCTAAGTGTCCATCAGTGGATTAAAAAAAATGTGGTACATATTCACAATGGGGTACTCTTCAACCATAAAAAATAATGAAATCCAGTCAATTGTAACAACCTGGATGGAATTGGAGATCATTATGTTAGGTGAAATAAGCCAGACACAGAAAGACAAACATTACATGTTCTCACTGAATTGTGGGATCTAAAAATCAGAACAATTGAACTCCTGGACATAGAGAGTAAAAGGATGGTTCCCAGAGGCTGGGAAGGGTAGTGAGAGGCTGGTGGGGAGGTGGAGATTGTTAACGGGTACAAAAATAGTTAAAAAGAATGAATAAAACCTACTATTTGATTACACAACAGGGTGACTATAATAATTGTACATTGTAAAATAACTTAAAGAGTGTAATTGGATTGCTTGTAACTCAAAGGATAAATGCTTGAGGGGATAGATAACTCATTCCCCAAGATATTCTTATTTCATATTCCATGCCTATATCAAAATATCTCATGTGCCCCATTAATATATGCACCTGCTATGTACCCCAGAATTAAAAATAAAAATAATTTTATTTTTAATAAAATTAAAATTTTATTAAATTTTAAACCAGGGAGTGGTGGCTCATGCCTGTAATCCCAGCACTCTGGGAGTCTGAGGTGGGCGGATCATGAGGTCAGGAGATCGAGACCATCCTGGCTAACACGGTGAAACCCCTTCTCTACTAAAAATACAAAAAATTAGCCGGGCATGGTGGCGGGCGCCTGTAGTCCCAGTTACTCAGGAGGCTGAGGCAGGAGAATGGCGTGAACCCAGGAGGCAGAGCTTGCAGTGAGCTGAGATGACGCCACTGCACTCCAGCCTGGGCGACAGAGCAAGACTCCTTCTTAAAAAAAAAAAGGAAGAATTTGAAGAAAATACAAATAAATGGAGAGGTCTCTTGTGTTCATTGATTAGAATTAGTATTGTTAAAATGTTCATATTATTCAAAACAATCTATAAATTCAATGCAATCCCTATCAACATTTCAATGTTACATTTTACAGAAATGAAAGAAAAACTATTATTAAATTTGTATTGAGTCACAGACTACCCCAAATAGTCCAAAACGTCATAAGATAGTGGCATCACACTCCTTGATTTTGAAACAAATTATAAACAATTGTCCTCAAATCAGCATGGTATTAGCATAAAAACAGATATGTTCACTGATGAAGCAGGATAAAAAACCCAGAACTAAACCCATGTATTTACGGTCAACTGATTTTTGATAAAAATGCCAAGAGCAGACAACGGGAAAAGGACAGTCTCTTCACTAAGTGAGGTGGAAAAATTGAATATGTACAGGCAGGAGAATGAAATTAGACCCTTATCTTATATCATATACAAAAGTCAACACACTGTGGAATGAACACTTAAATATAAGACTTGAAGCTGGGCGCAGTGGCTCATACCTGTATTCTCAGCACTTTCAGAGACGAGGTGGAGGGATTACTTGAGCCAGGAAGTCTAGACCAGCCTAGGCAACATAACAAGACCTCCTCTACCAAAAATTTTTAAAATTAGCCAGTTGTGGGGGTGTGCTCCTGTAGTCCCAGCTACCCAGGAGGCTGAGGTGGGTAGATCTCTTGAAGCTGGGAGGTCAAGGTTATAGTGAGCTGTAACTGCACCACACGCACTCCAGTTTGGGAAAGAGCCAGACCCTATCTCAAAAAAAAACTAATTAATTGAGAACATTTTAAAAAAATAGCTGGGCATAGTGGTGCATGCCTATAGTTCCAACTACTTGTGAGGCTAAGGTGGGGGAATTGCTTGAACCCAGGAATTTTAGGTTGCAGTGAGCTATAGTCATGCCACTGCACTCCAACCTGAGTGACAGAGTGAGACTCTGTCTTAAAAAAAAATTCAAAGTAAAAATAAAAATGGAAACTACTAGGAGAAAACGTAAGGGTGAATGACCCCAAAAACACAGACAACGAAACAGAATTAGACAAATAGGATGAAATAAAACTAAAAGCTTCTATACAGCAAAGGAAACAATTGACACAGTGAAAAGAAAACCTAAAAATGGGAAAGAATATTTGCAAGCTACATATCCCAATAAGGGAGTTAATATTCAAGACATATAAGGAATGCAAACAACCCTACAGCCAGAAAACAAATAACCTGATTTAAAAATCAGCCACATTATTTCTCATAAGAAGAAATACACATGGCCAACAGGTACATGAAAAAAATATGTTCAGCATCACTAATCACTAGGAAAATGCAAATTAAAACCACAATGAGATATCACCTCACACCTATTAAAATGATATCTTTAAAAGATGAAAGCTAAGTATTGGAGAGGATGAAGAGAAATGGGAACTCCTATATATTATTGGTGGGAATGTAAATTAGTACGGCCATTATGGAAAATGGTATGAAGCTTTCTCAAAACACTAAAACTAGAACTGCCATGTGATCTAGAAATGCCATTTCTGGAATTCTCAGAGGAACTGAAATCAATATGTTGATGAGATGTCCACAATCCCATGTTGATTGCAGCGTTAGTCACAATAGCCAAGACATGGAAAAAATCTAAGTGTCCATCAATGGATGAATAGACACAAAAATTTGAGATATGTACACAATGGAATACTGTTCAGACTTTAAAAAGGGGAAATCTTGCCGTTTGCAACAACATGGACGGATATGAAAGGCATTATGGTAAATAAAATAGGACAGGCACAGAAAGACAAATAGAATAGAATATGATATCATTTTTATATGGAATATAATAAAGTCAAATTCATAGATGTAGAGTTTAAAAAGTTGGTTACCAGAAGCTGGATATAGGGGTGATAGGAAGGAAAACAATGGCACTTTTATTTTCCCTCTATTTATTGATCTTACCTTGTTATCCTATGTTCATTTCTGCATAGCCTGTGGCCAATAAGGCAAAAGTTTAGTAGAATTTAAATAGAAACAAAATTAATACAATGGAGGTTGTGGGACCTCCGAAAAGAGATAATGATCACATAAGAGCATAAGCTTAATATTGTTAACATTTTGAATATTTAATTGGCAGAAGAAATGTATTTTTTTACCTTGTCATGATTTAATCTCTTTATATGAAATATAACGTTGTGTCTGCCTGTAGTTCAATGAAAAGTCTGCTTTTATGATCACATTACAAACATTAATGTGAGAAGTAATTATGTTATAAATGACTTTTGTTCAGGAAATACAAGTTTAATCACAATCTTACTTATTATGAAGTTAGGAAAATATTATTTTAATTTAAAATAAAGACATTTTATTGAATGCTAATTGATTGACATTATGCAAATTGGATATAACTTATTATAATAATGTTTCACACAGGTGTACCATATCTCAAAACTACCATAATAATAATCTACTCAATTCATATTTGATGAGCATAGGAAACAATATTGTAAGCTTGCCATGTTTTAATATTTATCACTAAAAAACTGTATTTAAAGCATTTTAGGGTTGCAAATTTCAATGATAGCACTCTTATGACATTAGTATTATCAGTGAATGGTATATACTTTGCAGAGTGGTTTACAAAAATAGTCATGTGTTTAAAAATTGTCATCAGATGCATATTCTGGTTACCAAAGGATGAGTAAAAGAAATAGAAGGGTCAATTTATTTGTCTGGAATAGAATTGAAATTAGGTATGAATTACATCAACTTAAATAGCTTATAGCATATATAGATGTTTTCCTAGTAGAATAATATTCTTGACAATAGTGATAACAGAATACTATTTATTGAAAGCTTTATGGATTTTATAGGCACTATGTAAGGCAAAGTGGATCATGGTGGATCAAAGTGGAACAAACTGAATGTTCTTAGAGTTTTTCAAGTTACTGGAACACTATTTGTGTTTTTTTCTATTCATAATGAATATCAATGCTGCCCAACTAGAAATAGATGATAGATTTTAAACAGATAATGAATGATTGACTGACTGATAGGTAGATATAGATAATCTTGGTGGAGAAAGATAATCTCATTTTGTCTTGGGAAAATATTTTAAATTTCTTAAGATAAGAAACGTATACTTTACATTTTTCTAATTTGTTGATTATCAGTTTATGCCAATGTACTAGACATGCCTTATGAAAATGAATTGTTCTCTAATTCATTTTATTCTATTGTGTGAATGCAGATAGATACACATTGAATATTTTAAATGATATTAAGAGAATCTTCTACATAATGGAAAAAATTCTATGAAATATTCTCTTGCTTTCTTTTTATCTGTTTTTTATACAAAAACCAGCTTTAACAAAAAACAAAATAACATTTAAAAATAAAACTAGAGAAAAATACCTTTTTCAAAATCATGTTGTTGTAAATATCTATCTTTTCTAATTCTGAAGTGATTTCGGAAATTTTATAAATTCAATGTTAGTTTTTTAAATAGATCCCAACAAGTAGAAATTTTTCAGAGACATGAAATCAAAAACTTTGTCATTTGAAAAACAATAGTATTTATATGTTCAATAAGAATAAACAGTAAGTTTCATGCTATGCCTGAGAAATGAGGATGCTGTTGTGATAAGCATGGGTATGCACCAGTATTTACTTTTTAATTGTGTAAGCCTTTGTTATAAGTGCCAGCAATGAAGAGCACCCTTGACTCCTGCTAACTTCCTTTCAGCCATGGTTGGCTCATTATATTGCTTTCGTGCATAGCTGTTGGCAGACGTAGACATAACATTTTAACATGCATTGAGCCTCCTTCAAGCATTTTAATTGGTTTAAAACTACTGGTAGTATCTTTTACTGTATTAATTTATTGCTTCAGTTTCAGTCAACTGAAACCTTTGCCAGATGGTAATGCAGCCACTGCATACATAATAGGAGATTGGAGGTATTTATATGATGCAAATGCCTCTTTTTGATTAAGTATTCATGAACTTTCTCTTAATGATTATATTGAAAAAGTACTACAAAGATTGAGATTCACACCTCATGGAAATTAATAATCTAATTTTGCAAAGTGACAGTTTTGTTTAAAAGTGATGGAAGGCATAGCTTCTGAGAAGATAATAACAATCATTCAGGAAGAGTATCCCTTCTTTAGTTTTGTTTTGTTCAGATTCAATGAGATTCAGAAGTGGCAGCCATAAAAATAAACGCCCCTCATAGCATGGAATAAGAAAGCACAGTATTTATTTATTTCAAAACTTAAAATGTTGCATAATGTTTATTCACTTAGTTATAGAAAACACATTGTGCAGTGGTTATAGAATCATCGGTATGTTTCACAGTAGCATTAGCCTCAATTTTAAAATTAAAAATAGTAAGTTATTTTCAGGTAGAATCTTACACTTTAAATTGTACATCACATGTATGCACACACACAACATTCTCATAAAAAAGTGCACCAAAATAGTATTAAAGCTATTTACAACTTCAATCCAACAAAATTTTGTAGGTTTTATAATCTGTTGCTTAAGACTGGACATATAGAATGTAGATGAGAATTATGTTGGCAATACTTAAGAGAAGCAGATTGTGGGCTTTTGCATACCTTTCCTGCTGGAAACATAATCTATCTATCATCACAAAGACAAAATATGTATTCAAAAATGATCTGTATACATATTTATAACTTATACCCAGATGGTGAAGGTCAAAATACATCTGACCTAAACTTTACCTAAATACTGCAAATGTTTGTGTATCTATCACTTTTCATTATCTAGCAATATGTGTCTTTATGATATGGTTCATTAACTGTAAATTGGGCATTGCTGCCTGAATTCCTTCCGAGACACAGATCCTTATCTCATGAAATTTGCTTATAGTATTTGCACTTACAGGCCTGCATTGTCAGGGGAAAAATAGGTCAATATCCTTAGTAATAGAAATATTAATTTCCAGGGACCCAGAGAAATAAAAAAGGTTATTATAACAATGGACTATTTTTCAATTACAAATAACAGCACATTGTTATATATAAATTGTATTTATAATAAGAACAGGTTTATTGACAAGAACTTATGTTATTGTTGGGAAGAAGGAGGCAGGTAAGGAGGGAGAAAAGAGACAGAAAGAGGATAATTTATACATCTGAGAGAAAGTGTTTTACAAAGCTCGTAATTGTCACAGGGTCATAATTTCAAACTAAACTTGGTCTTTTTGCTAAAGAGTTCATTTATTCTTATCCAAGCATGGCTTACATTGTGAAATAAGAAGCTGTCTAGCTTTGTCTTAATACTCAAATGTTCCAGAAATTCTTCTTCTTAATATTACTTGTATGTTTTCAAATCCATAGTGATTTATAAAGCAAAGAAAAAGTACACCCTATGAATATACACATTTCCTTTTTTCTTTTCAGATTTTGCTATCTGCCAAAAATGCCATTCTACATGCCTCAACCTTCTGAAACTCTTTTATGAATGAAAATCGTTTTAAAGTCTTTGTACACTTCATATAGTGTTTTCTTTTCCTACTAACACTCATCATTTTCAATCTTTCTAATTTTCTTGGGCTTTGTAAGACTTTGTTGGACAATATGATAGAGATTTAAAGCTTTATAATTTAAAAAGACTAAAATCATTTGAAATCAAATGTCAACAATCCTTTTTGCTTGCTTTTTAAAATCAGCTTTATTGAGGTATGATTTTTTAAACTGCACAAATTTTAATTTCACAGATGAACGTGTATGGGCAAATAGATGAAATATATTAATGACACCTCAGTAAGGTGTCATTACTCCTTACATCCTCCCAAAAAGTATTATATGTCCCCATAGCAGTCCATCGAAACCCTAGGCAAGTATTGACTTGATATTTATCATCAAATCTTAGGTTTTTTGTTTTTTTTTTTCCAGAGGTTAATTTTACTAGAAGCATGCAGGACACATTTCATTGTATGTCAGTCTTCTTTCACTCATCCTAATTGCATTATATATTTATTCTTTAAGAAAAATGCAGTACTCCTTTCAGTTACTAGGTGGTATTCCATTATATAGATGTATCTATTAGCCCAAAGATAGACAATTAGTCTTTTGTCCAATATGCTTACTTTGATTGAAACTGCTGTGAACATTTTTGTACATATGTTTTTATATCATTGAGGGTAAATAGGAATTAAATTACCGGGTCATTGTTTAGGTGTACATTTAACTTTATAAGAAACTGTCACATTGTTTTATAAGATTTTTTTTTCTCTTTAGATGGAGTTTCGCTCTTGTTGCCCAGGATGAAGTGCAATGGTGCGATCTCAGATCACTGCAATTTCTGCCTCCCGGGTTCCAGCTATTCTCCTGTCTTATGCTCCCAAGTACTGGGATTACAGGAGTGAGCTACCACGCCCAACTAATTTTTGTATTTTTAGTAGAGATGGGGTTTCGCCATGTTGGCCAGGCTGGTCTCAAACTCCTGACCTCAGGTGATCTGCCTGCCTCGGCATCCCAAAGTGCCGGGATTACAGGTGTGAGCCACCACACCCTGCCTGTTTTACAAGTTTTTATAATTTTATACTCTCACCTCCTCCGAGACACTTTGTATTATAACCAGTCTCTTTAATTTCAGCCATTCTTAGCATTCTGAAGCTGCATATCATTGTGACTTTAATTTTTATTTTCCTGGACACTATGTCAATGTATTTTCATTGACCAATTACACGTTTTCTTGATTAAAGTTTTTAAATTATTTTTATTTGATTATTTCTCATGTATTCATTTGTATATCTCATCTTTATTGTCTTTATGTATTATGTATGCTGAATGAGTTTTTAGTCAGAAATTTATATTGCAAATATTAAACTATTGTACCTCAGTGTATTTTTTTATAGTATTATCTTTTGAAGAACTGTTTTTCCTTGCAATGAAGTCCAATGCATTATGTCTGTTATTTTTATTGTTAGTAGTTTTTGTGTCCTAAGATATTAGCCTTGTTTCCTTCTAGAACACTTATAATTTATATTTAGCTACATGATCCATCTGAACTTAATTTTTGTGAATGATATCAGATATTGGTCCAGATTAATGTTTTTAACTTATGAATATACAGCTTTAACCATTTTATGGAAAATCTATCCTTTCTTCATTAAATTACCTGAGCACATTTATTGAAAAAATAATTGACCACATACGTGTGAGTTTATTCTGGAAAACTTCTTCTGTTCCACTAATATATTTATCAATACTTTCACCATTAATTCACTGTAGGTAACTAGTTTTAAAGTCTTGAAATCAGGTAGCAAAATTCTTAACTAAATTCTTTTCAAACTTATTTCAGCGTTCTTTTTTTAATATGATTTAGAATCAGTTTGTCAACTTCAAAAGATAAAAGCCTGCTGGGGGTTTTGATTGGGAGACGAAGGAAAATGAATCTGTTCCTGGGTAAATCTAGCTCAAATATTCAGAGACTGAACTGCACATGCTCAGTCTATTTATGGGAGATGTCATCGCATCAGATATGTCACTCCCCCCATTATACATTATCTATGAAATCTGTCAAAAACAAAATCTATCTATGGAATTTCCCTAGGTCAGACTTCTCTTTATCCTCTTTGTTACTCTGAGCTCTTCGGAGCCTTCTGACTTCACTTTCTCTTTCGATCCCGCACATTCATTCTTATTTAATCTTTATGTCTAAAATTAATACCCTATATCCAGACTACCACATAAGCCCCACTTTATATTATGACTTCCATTTTATCTTTTTTCATGAGTCACAAGTGTGGAAAAAAAGTGTTCAGTTCTTAAACCTTGCTTTAGGTCGATATTTTCTGATACAATTGATTATCTAAATATTTTATACTGAGATTTATAAAACCAGTTTTGTTTCTGTTCTACAACCAAATATATATGGATATATATTTTATTGTAACTTGTTTTGTAAGTAAATGTTGTAGTTAGGAAGTCTAAGGACTCCAGCGGGAATGTAATATTTTATTGAAATTCGTGTGCTTATTTTTGATGCCTGATGAGTTGAGCTTTTTTTTTCTTTCTGCCAATTTCACTTTTCATCTGCTCCGCAAGTCTCAGTGTACTGTCAATGTTTCATATGAAGTATCAAATATTCACAAACAAAAATAACATGTTCTTCACAAAATTCTGACAGCACCAGCAACTGAGAAACTCAGTACTTTCAATCACATCATTTTCCTTTTTCTTTTTCTTTCTTATCTATATTTTTCCCAATTCTTCACAGAGAAAACCTCATTATCCAAGCAGTTACTCAAGGCCTATAGCTCTGGTGCTTCAAATAAATCCCACCAATAATTTGTTCAATTCCACAGTTCACCTTGTCTCTCTGATTAAGAAACAGATACACAATACCCAGCAAATATCCCAACAGATACACAATACCCAGCAAATATCCCAACAGTCACTCCTTAATGCTGTCCTTTTAAAAACACAGTTAGGCAGGATTAACTTGGCTTCATTTTCCAGACGAAGTGGGGTCTCTTTCACTTGGGATCTGGGCCAGAGTATTAAGCTATTGATGCCCAGTAAAATTACCACATTTCATTCCACAGAAAACAGGCATTGAATGAACAGTGTCTCAATCAACATAAAGCTTTGGAACTTTGTTCCATGGTTGTGAGAATAGCCGCTTTGTCCAGACATCTTCAACTATGAGTTATCCAAACTAAACATCACGCCAGTACCCAGATGTTGGTAGACACATGAGAGCTGGAGCAAAACCGAAGCCAGATCCCAGATGAAACCATGTCTGTTTTCTGAACTCCTTCTAGCACTTTCACTTGAATGAGTCAATACATTTACTTCATTCTTTAAGATTTCATTATTGGGTTTTCTGTTAGTTTTCAATTATAAGCAACTAATTTGCAATAAATGGTGGATCAAAACACAGACAGTATTTCTTAACCACTTATAGCTCCTGTTAAATTGAAATTTCTTAAAAGCTCTGCTGTGGACATTCCTTTGATAATTTTACAGTTTCTAATGATCTCATTTTAATATTTATCTCTTTATGGAAATTCCTATTTTCAATTGGAAATTCCTAGTATTAGCATTACTATGATAATTTAGAGTATATTTTCAATTTTCTGAATCTTGCAAAAGTTGTCATTTAAATTGCTTATATATATACTTGAAAAAATGAAAATAATATTGTAAACACTAAGAATGTTATTCATAGGAATCTAATATTTTGATGATTTCATTACATTTTCAGATTACTGTGTTATATCACTTAACACTATACATTGGAAACAGAGTCTCATAGCATAAATTAATAAGCTAGTGAGAAATTTGCTATAAATGTAACTTGTTAGAAAGAATATTTGGAAAACTATGCATCTTGGATTTGAAAATTTTTATCAAAACGTATGTGATAATATATTGAGAAAAGTCACCCTTTTTCTTTCAACATGGTTTGTTTGTTCGAACGTAATCCAAATTATTGTTTTTTTTTTCTTTCTTAAGGATTGTGCTCTTGACGTCAAGTCTAAAACTCTTCTAATACCATGCCTTGCCATAGGTCCCAAAGATGTCCCCCTTTATTTTCTTCTGAATTTTTTAGATTTTTACATATAAAATTTAATTTTATGAATTATTTTGAGGTAATTTTTGTGGTATGAGCTTAGGTCACCTTTTATTTATTTGCCTCTGGATATCCAATTATTCCAGCACCATTTGTTTCAAAGGCCTTCTTCCTGAGTTGAATTGTATTTTCACTTTCGTCAAAAATAAGTTGGGCATATTTGAGTGGGTTATTTACTGGGTTCTCTATTCTGTACCATTGATCTATATTTCTATCTCTATACCAAAACCGCATAATCTAAATTATTATAGCCTATAATAAATCTTAAAATCTTAAATCTTAGTTAAAATATATTCAGCACTTCAAGCAGAATGCTTAACAAATATTATGTCCATTTACCTTAAAATTATCCAAAGCAATAAACAAAAGCAATGCATAAAAACACAAAATAGGCCCGGCGCGGTGGCTCACGCCTGTAATCCTAGCACTTTGGGAGGCCAATGCGGGAGAATCAGGAGGTTAGGAGATCGAGACTATCCTGGCTAACACGGGAAACTCCATCTCTACTAAAAATACAAAAAAATTAGCCGGGCATGGTGGCGGGCGCCTGTAGTCCCAACTACTGACAGGAGAATGGTGTGAACCCGGGAGGCAGAGCTTGCAGTGAGCCGAGGTCGCGCCACTGCACTCCAGCCTAGGCGACAGAGGGAGACTCCCCTGGAAAGGGGGCTGAAGTCAGGGAGCCAAGTGTTCTCCTTCAGCAGGTCCCACTCCCACTGAGCCCAGCAAGCTTAGAACTACTGGCCTGAAATTCTTGCTGCCAGCACAGCAGCCTGAAGTCAACCTGGGATGGTCTAGCTTGTTGAGGGGGAGAGGCATTCACCATTACTGAGGCTTGATTAGGAGGTTTTCCCCTCACAGTATTAAGGAAGTTTGGACTGTGTGGAATTCACTGCAGCGTGGCAAAGCGGCTGTGACCAGACTGCCTCTTTAGATTCCTCCTCACCGTGAAAGGCGTCTCTGAAAGAAAGGTAGCAGCTACAGTCAGGGGCTTATAGATAAAACTCCCATCTCCCTGGGACAGAGCACCCAGAGGAAGGGGCGGCTGTGGGTGCAGCTTCAGCAGAATTAAACGTTCCTGCCTGCCAGCGCTGAAGAGAGCAGCGGACCCACATCAGAAAGTGGGAAATATCTGAAATCGACACCCTAATATCACAATTAAAAGAACTAGAGAAGCAAGAGCAAATTAAAAGGCTAGCAGAAGACAAGAAATAACTAAGATCAGAACAGAACTGAAAGAAATAGAGACACGAAAAACCTTTCAAAAAATCAATGTATCCAGGAGCTAATTTTTTGAAAACATTAATAAAATAGATGGCTAGTCAGGCTAATAAAGAAGAAAAGAGAGAATAATCAAACACAATAAAAAATGATGAAGGAGATATTACCACTGATCCCACAGAAATACAAACTGCCATCAGAGAATACTATAAACACCACTATGCAAATAAACTAGAAAATCTAGAAGAAATGGATAAATTCCTGGACACACACTTCACCAAGACTAAACAAGGAAGAAGTTAAATCCCTGAATAGACCAATAATAAGTTCTGAAATTGAGAAATTAATTCATAGTCTATCAACCAAAAAAAGCCCAGGACCAGACAAATTCACAGCCGAATTCTATCGGAGGTACAAAGAGGAGCTGGTACCATTCCTTCTGAAACTACTCCAAACAACAGAAAAAGAGGAACTTCTCCCTAACTCATTTTACGAGTCCAGCATCATCCTGATACCAAAACCTGGCAGAGACATAACAAAAAAAGAAAATTTCAGGCCAATATCCCTGATGAACACTGATGCAAAAATTCTCAATAAAATACTGGCAAACCAAATCCAGCAGCACATCAAAAAGTTTATTCACCACAATCAAGTCAGCTTTAACCCTGCAATGCAAGGCTGGTCCAACATATGCAAGTCAATAAACATAGTCCATCACATAAACAGAACCAATGACAAAAACCGCATGATTATCTCAATAGATGCAGAAAAGGCCTTCAATGAAATTCAACACCTATTCATACTAAAAATACTTAATAAACTAGGTATAGATGAAACATATCTCAAAATAATAAGAGCTATTAATGACAAACCCACAGCCAATATCATACTGAATGGGCAAAAGCTGGAAGCATTCCCTTTGAAAACAGGCACAAGACAAGGATGCCCTCTCTCCTATTCAACACGCTATTAAAAGTTCTGGCCAGGGCAATCAGGGAAGAGAAATAAATAAAGGACATTCAAATAGGAAGAGAGAAAGTCAAATTGTCTGTGTTTGCAGATGACACGATTGTATATTTAGAAACCCCATCATCTCAGGATACAAAATCAATGTGCAAAAATCATAAACATTCCTATACACCAATAATAGACTAACAGAGAGCCAAATCGTGAGTGAACTCCCATTCACAATTGCTACAAAGAAAATAAAATACCTAGGAATACAACTTACAAGAGAAGTGAAGGATCTATTAAAGTAGAATTACAAACCACTGTTCAAGGAAATAAGAGACAGCACAAACAAATGGAAAAACATTCCATGTGCATGGATAGGAAGTATCAATATCATGAAAATGGCCATACTGCTCAAAGTAATTTATCGATTAAATGCTATTCCCGTCAAGCTACCATTGACTTTCTTCACAGAATTAGAAAAAACTACTTTAAATTTCATATGGAACAATAAAAGAGCCTGTATAGCCAAGACAATCCTAAGCCAAAAGAATAAAGCTGGAGGCATCATGCTACCTGACTTCAAACTATACTATAAGGCTACAGGAACCAAAACAGCATGGTACTGGTACCAAAACAGATATATAAACCAGTGGAACAGAACAGAGGCCTCAGAAATAACTCCAAACATCTACAACCATCTGATCTTTGACAAACCTGACAAAACAAACAATGGGGAAAGGATTTCCTATTAAACAAATGGCATTGGGAAAACTGGCTAGCCATATGCAGAAAACTGAAACTGGACCCCTTCCTTACACCTTATGCAAAACTTAACACAAGATGGAGTAAAGACTTAAATGTAAAACCTGAAATCATAAAAACCCTAGAACAAAACCTAGGCAATACCATGCAGGGCGTAGGCATGGACAAAGACTTCATGATTAAAACACAGAAAACAATTGCCATGAAAGCCAAAATTGACAAATGGGATGTAATTAAACTAAAGAGCTTCTGTACACAAAAAGAAACTATCATCAGAGTGAACTGGCAACCTACAGAATGAGAGAAAATTTTTGCAATCTATCCATCTGACAAAGGTCTAATATCCAGAATCTACAAGGAACGTAAAAAAATTTACAAGAAATAAAACAAACAACCCCATCAAAAAGTGGGTGAAGGATATGAACAGACAATTCTCAAAAGAAGACATTTATGCAGCCAACAAACAAATGAAAACAGCTCATCATCACTGGTCATTAAAGAAATGCAAATCAAAACCACAATGAGCTACTATCTCATGCCAGTTAGAATGGCAATCATTAAAAAGCCAGAAAACAACAGATGCTGAAGAGGATGTGGATAAATAGGAACGTCTTTACACTGTTGGTGGGAGTGTAAATTAGTTCAACCATTGTGGAAGACAGTGTGTCAATTCCTCCAGGATCTAGAACTAGAAATACCATTTGACCCAGCAATCCCATTACTGGGTATATACCCAAAGGATTATAATTCATTCTACCATAAAGGTACATGCACATGTATGTTTACCTCAGGACTGTTTACAATAGCAAAGACTTGGAACCAACCCAAATGACCATCAATGATAGACCGGATAAAGAAAATGTGGCACATATAACCATGGAATACTATGCAGCCATAAAAAAGAATGAGTTCATGTCCTTTTCAGGGACATGGATGAAGCTGGAAACCATCTTTCTCAGCAAACTAACATAGGAACAGAAAACAAAACACCTCATGCTCTCACTCATAAGTGGGAGTCAAACAATGAGAACGTATGGACACAGGGAGGGGAACATCACACACAGGGGCCTGTTGGGGGTCAGGGGACAAGGGGGAGTGAGAGCATTAGGACAAATGCCTAATTCATTCGGGGCTGAAAACCTAGATGACAGGTTGATGAGTGCAGCAAACCACCATGGCACATGTTTACCTATGCAACAAACCTGCATGTTCTGCACATGTATCCCAGAACTTAAAGTATAATAATAATAATAACTAATTCCAGAGCCTCACATTAATCAATATTATCAGCATCATCCTATATCATGCAATTTGACAAATTAAGCCACAAATAAGAAAATGTCCACATTTTAAGATGGGCTTTTCATACCTTATAAGAAAAAAATGTTGTGGCTCAATAAGCAATAAATCAAGGAGGGCATGACAGAAAATGTACACATATTCCACATATTTTTTATCAACCCCTGTGCTTATTATTAATCAATAATATTTATATTAGAAAATGAACACAATGACTTTATATTTATAAAAAAAATATGAATTTGCTTCACTCACTTGGTCACGCCTGACCAAGTCTCATTAATAAAAGATTCTGGACTTCATCACAAAACTGTTTTCTCTATAAAAGCAAACTATCTACCCAAATATTTATCAAAATGCCTAATATTCTCATTAAACATCTTTGAATCCCTTTTAACTTTTCCAAGGTTTTATTATTCTGATTGCTCCAAATTTCCATCAGCTTTTCGCTTACAACTTCCATTGCAGGCTCCCATAATTTCCTTTGGTCAATATTTGCAATGTTGCTGACTAGGGTTCAGTTTTATGAAAATAAAATGTATCTGTGTTATTACAGAAAAATCTTACAAATGGTGGTTTTCTTTTCAGGAACTTTCTGTTTATAATTGATTAATAAAAATACTCTATAAAAATGTATTTTCTTTAGCAAATATGGCACACTTTATTGAAGTTATCTGTGTATACCTGCTTCCCTTACTAGACTGCGATTTCTCCACTATCATCAGCCATGCTGATATAGTTTAGATATTCGTCCCCTCCAAATTTCATGTTGAAATGTAATTCCCAATGTTGGAGATGAGGCCTGGTGATCTTTCATGAATATTTTGGTGCCATCTCCATAGTAACGAGTGAGTTCTCACTCTGTTAGTTCATGTGAGACCTGGTAGTTTAAGATTGTGGCCCCTGTTTCATCTCTCTTGCTCCTGATCTTAGTATGTGATATCCTGGCTCTTGCTTTGCCCTCCATCATGATTGAAAGCTTCCTGAGGCCTCACCAGAAGCTGTGTAGATGATAACATGTGCTTCCTATGTAGCCTGTAGAACCATGAGACAAATAAAACCCTTTTAGTCATAAATTAACCAGTCTCAGGTATTCCCTTAGTGACACAAAAACAGACTAACACACATGCCATATGTGTCATTTTATACCAAGTAGCTAGCTTGAAACAAAACTCAATAAAGATTTATTAAATAAAGTAAGAAAAGGAGGGATGAAAAGAAAAAGGAAGAACTTGATAAATTATGTACATTATTGAATTTTTAAATTTTTATATTCAAGAGGGTTTATGTGAAGGTTTATTACATGGATATATTGCATGATGCTTAGGTTTAGACTTAAATTAACCCATCATCCAAATAGTGAGCATAGTACCTAATAGGTGGTTTTTCAACCCTTGCCTTATGAAACCAATATCATCCTGATACCAAAATCTGACAAAGACAAAAGAAAACAAAACTATAAGACAATATCCCTCATGAACATAGATGCCAAAATTTTCAACAAAATACTGGAAAACCAAATATAGTAGCACATTAAACTGATGATTCACTGTGATCAAGTGGGCTTCATTCCTGGGATACAAGAATGGTTCAACAAATAAATGTGACTCAACATATAAACAGAATTAAAAACAATGAACATATGATTATTGTTAACTTTTAAAGACACTGTTCCTTTGGATTTGACAGCAGTATTAGATTATTAGATTTCTAAATAAAATAAAATACTAGATAGAAAATTAATATTCATTTATGTCCATACTTTGTATGTATATATGATAGCATCATAAGAAATGTTTCATTTCAAACAATATTTTCAAGCTTTAAAAAATGTCTATGGAAACTCTGCACAAATTATTCACTTTGATCCCCACAAAGTCTAAAGCACACTACTTGGAAGTCACTGGTATGTCTCTTGCAAGTCCATGAACAACTTTCTCTGTTCCTATATAGCATTATGTGTTACCGTGATAACTCTATTCAACATATTGATGTACAAGGTATAACCACTTTTGAGGCTACCCCCAACATTTCCAGCTATTAATGTCATGGTCACCAAGAGAATGCTGTTAATAGATCTAGGCTTCTGGCCAGTTGTGCTACATTATCTGTTATTACCAATATGCTGAACATATGCTGTATCTCCTTTTTCACATTGTGTTACACTTAGGCACCCGGGTACTAATAATTCACAGTATTTCATCTAATAACAATGACACTTCCTTACATTTCTGCCTGTATTATCTTTGTCTTTAAAAATAAAAAGAGTATAGTATACAGTGTTGGGTCATTAGAAATACTCTCTTAAACAGATTTTCAAAATATCTGTCTCTTTTATGTTTCTTATTCTATACATTGCCTTCTGTCCCTGTATTCTATTTGGTATGAAAGATGTTTATCCCAGGGAAGCTGGGTTATTATGAGGAAATAATATAGTTAGAGCTATCTTTTATTTTAGGATCTTTGTAGAGCTGAGTGGGGAGTATTCGTCAGAGATTCATATTTTGATTTCAAAATGATTTGAGATGTTGGGAAGCTTAGTCATTAGTAAATATCACATGCTTTCCTGCTTATGTTTTATATTCTGATTCTAACACTATTAGTTAAAATGGTATTACATGAAACAAAAAACAAGATCTGCTCCTTAGTTCATTCTTTGACTGTTGTACCTAATAATAAACCTCATTTTCTTTTTATGACAAAAAGCTTTTCTAGATCAAAGAAAAATGCATATATGTTATAATATTCATAATGTGTCCTTTTAAAGAGAACTATAGTGAGAAGCAGAACATTTTCAGGAACTTTTACACAGAATAAAACTAATCAAACAAGATATTTCAAACCTATTTTTTAAACTATTTCAATTTTCAGATACAAAGAAGCCCCTCCCTTACTTACACAGGCACACAGGCACACACACACCCCAACTCACTACTATCAATTTATGGTCAACATAGATCTTTAAAGAAGAGAGGAAAAACAGGTATTTTGGGAAAACACACTGAAAATGGATGAAAAGGTGAGGTAGATGTTGTGGTTGAAGAGGGAGGAAGCTGGGAATTTTGTTTGGGCTCCAGAACTGACCTCCGAACCTAAATTGCACTGAAGAAAGGGGTGAGTGAAGGAATCCTAGGATGCCACACTTTCCCCACAGACCTCTGGAATCTTAGCTACAGGAGTTCCCACTACCCCCATAGATCTTCAGACTGGCAGGGGAGCCACCTGTATATCAGGGAGAGGCATAACTTGAACCCATGTGGATCCCAGAAATTTCCCCACCACCATGCAGCTGCAGCAAAACACAATCATTGGTGGCCATCCCCCAAGGATCTTGATCTTGCTGCAGCTCCTGCTTTCAGCCAGGACAGGAGAGAGCAGGGTAACCATTACTATGGGATTGAATTGCATCTGATCCATGTGTACCCTTGCCTGACAGCCCCTCCTAAGACCACCTGTCTGGCCATTTCTGCAGAAGTGTGCCCACAACACAGCCTCCACTATGCCACCTGTATGCCACCTGAGTGTTTTGCTGGTCGCCTGGATGTAGTTTGCACCCCAAGCACAGCTGATGCTTGACCCCATGAAGCCAGTGGACAAACAATGGGCTCCGTCCTAACTTCTCAGAATTTAAGCACACCACCCAGGGACATCAAACTGAGACTTGTGGCTGGAGTTCAAGCAGGAGAGGACCACCAACACTCAAAACACATAAAAGAGTGGAGTGGGCTTGTGGGCCAGCATGGGACCTGGGCATCCCTCCCTCTGCAACACTGAACTTGAAAGGGTATGGCCTGATAGAAAGCCATGGTTTCTTTCCCAAGGAGCCTCATGGCTCAGTTATCTGGGTGCAGAACGACTGGAACAAACCCAGCTGTCCATGCCTAATCCCAGAGTGGATGCTGGAGGGAGAACCACTAGGTTGAACAACCAAGAAATGGGCAGGGCCCACAACTGTCTGTTAGGCTGAGAACCCTGGACTGCAGGCACCATTCTGTTTGCACACCTATGGTGCCATTGCTGTGCTGGAGGATCCTCCACCCTTGACCCACTGCACCACCAGACCAATTGCAGAAATACCCCATAACCCACTCTAACTATAGCAAACACAGAGGATCAGTAAGTCCCCAGGAAGTCACAGGTCTACTGGTGACCAAACTTTTAGCATGCACCACCCATAAGGAAGGAGGGAGAACAGCCCACCAAAGACCCCTTGGGGCAAGGGAACTATGGGCATGAAACCAGCAATTAAAGGAGACACCACTGAGGCCCAAAATGCATTTGGAGAAGGAGTCATCTCTTACCTTCTCTCTACCTTCCCTTCCCACTGCACTGCTTCGAATGCACTGAAACACAAAAAGAGGTAAATGTAGATGAATAAGAAGCAATATGCCAGCCCTTATTTTTATGTGCCATCTGTGGGACTATAGCCTGAGTTACACCATCCAACAAAAATATATTATTTCAACATGCAATACTTGTTAAACCCACTATAGGAACCTACCTACAACCAAGGAACCAGAACAGAGCCTTAGCCTTCTGGAAGCACTAAGTAAAGAAGCTAACCAGAACATAAACTAGAGTCAAATTCTCAAGGGAAGAAAGAATAAAAAAAAAAATACCCATCCAAACAACAGCAAATTCAAACAAAAGAAGAAGTGTTAGGCTCACTCAGATGAGAAGGAATCAGGGCAAGAATGCTGGCAACTGAAAAAATCAGTCTTTCCTTACCCTCCAAAGGATCACACTAGCTCTCTGGAAATGGATCATAACCAGATTGAAATGTCTGACATGACAGACATAGAATTTAGAATTTGTATGATGAGGAAACTCAATGAGATCCAAGAGAAAGTTGAAATTCAATCCTATGAAGCAGGCAAAATGATTCAAGATTTGAAAGACAGCACAGCTATATTAAGAAAGAACCAAACTGAAACTCTGGAATTGAAAACTTGACTGAAAGAATTTTTAAATACATTTGGAAGCCTTGACAACAGACTAGATCAATCAGAGGGAAAAAATGTTCAGAGCTCAAATCCAGTTCTTCAAATCAACCCGCTCAGACAAAAAAAAAAAAAAAAAAAAAAAAAAAAAAAAAATTGTAAAAAATGAACAAAGCATCTGAGAAATACAGAATTATATAAAGCAACCTATAACTCACTGGGTTTCCTGAGATAGAAGAAAGGAGAGTTAACAACTTGAAAAATATTTTCAAGGATACATCCCATGAAAATGTTCCCAATCATAATAAAGAGGTCAACATACAGGTTCCAGAAATTCAGAGAACTCCTGAGAGATACTACACAAGACAAGACAATCATCCAAGGCATAGTCATCAGACTTTCCAAGGTCAACATGAAAGGAAAATCTTAAAGACAGCTAGAGAAAAGGGTTGTATCACCTACGAAAGGAATAAAGTAAGACTAATAACAGACTTCTCAGCAGAAACCTTACAAGTCAGAAGAGATTGGGGGCCTAATTTTAGCACTTCTAAAGAAAAGAGAGTCCAACCAAGAATGTCACATCCCACCAACTAAACTTCATAAGCAAAAGAGAAATTAAACATTTCCCAGACAAGCAATCATTAAAGGAATTTGTTACCACCAGACTGGCCATGCAAGAGATGCTTAAGGGATTTTTAAATATGGGAAAAAAAGAATGATATCTGCTACCACAAAAACACATGTAAATACATAGCCCAAAGATTCTGTAAAGCAACTACACAACTGACAATACAAAGCAACCAGGTAGCATCACTACAAGATGAACAAAAATAAATATATCAATATTAAAGTGGTTTAAGCATTCCACTTAAAAGACAGACAGTGGCAAATTGGATAAGAAAATAAGATTCATCCTTCTTTTGTCTTTAGGAGACCCATCTCACATGTAATGACATCTATAGGTTCAAAGTAAAAGGATGAAAATCTATTACACAAATGGAAAACAAAAATGAGTAGGGATCACTATTCTTGTATCAAATAATACAGCCTTTAAACTAGCAATATCAAAAAAAAGGACAAGGAGGGGCATTAAATAATGATAAAACGTTCAATTCAACAAGAAGACTCAACTATCCTAAATATATGTGCATCCAACATTGGAGGACCCAAACTCATGAAAGACTTCTACAGCCACACAATAATATTGGGGGACTTCAAGCCCCCTCGCTCCACCACACACACACACGGATAGGATTACACTGATCATTAAGGCAGAAAACTAAAAAAAATTATGGACTTAAATTCAACCTCTGACCAATTGGACCCAATAGTGAGCTACAGAATACTCCACCCGACAACTACAAAATATACATTCTTCTCGTCTGCACGTGGAACATACTTTAAGATTAATCACATATGCACTCATGAAGCAAGTCTCGATTAATTTTTTTAAAAAATCAAAATCATACCAGGCATATGTTCAGACAATAGTGGAATAAAAATAATAATCAATATCAAGAGGAACTCTCAAAACTACAAAATTACATGGAAATTAAACAACTTGCTCCTGAATGACTTATGGATAAAAAATAACATTAATGCAGAAATCAAAAAATTATTTGAAACAAATCAAAATAAAGACACATGTCAATACCTCTGGGATATGGCTAAAGCAGTGTTAAACATTTATAGTGCTAAATGCCTACATCAAGCAGTTAGAAGCTCTCAAATCCACAAGCTAACATCGAACCTAAAGGAACTGGAAAAAGAAGAGCAAATTAATGCCAATGCTAGCAGAATAAAATGAATAACTAAAATTAGAGCTGAACAATGAAGTTGAGACCCCCCCACCAAACCAAAGAATCGAAAAAACAAAAATTTTGGTTTTCTTTTTGAAAAGATAAACAAAATTTATACACTATTAGCTAGATTAAGAAAAAAGAAAGAAGATATAAATAATTATAATCAGAAATGGACAAGTGGACATTACAACCATTCCCAAAGAAATACAAAAGAACCTCAGAGACCATTATGAATACCTCTATGCATACAAACTAGAAAATTTAGAGAAAATGGATAAATTCCTGGAAAGACATAATAACTCAAGATGGAATCAGGGGAAAAATAAAACTCTGAACAGAAAAATAATAAGTTACAAAGTTGAATTAGTAATAAAAAAAATACCAACCAAATTAAGTTTAGACCAGACAAATTCACAGTTCAATTCTAAATGATGTATAAAGACAAGCTGGTACAAATTCTACTGATGCTATTCCAAAAAGTTGCAGAGGGCCTCCTCCCTAAGTCATTATATGAAGCCAGCACCATCCTGATATCAAAATCTGGCAAAGACACAAGGAAAAAAAAAAAAAAAATATATATATATATATATATATATATGTATATATATATATATATATATATATATATATATATATGCCAAATATCCCTGATGAAGATAGATACAAAAATCCTCAAAAAAAAAGAAAAAACTTGCAAACTAATTTCAGCCACATATCAAAGTTATTTTAATCACAATCAAATAGGCTTTATTCCTAGGATACAAGGCTAGTTCAATATATGCAAATCAATAAATGTAATTTACCACATCAATGGACTTATAAGTAAAAACCTCGTGATCATCTTAATAGACGCAGAAAAAAATTCAACAAAATTCAACATTCCTTCATAATAAAAATCCTTAACAAACTAGGCATCAAGGATCATACATCAAAATACTTAGTGTCAGGTAGGACAAATCCACAAAAAAAATCTTACTAACTGAGAAAATGCTGGAAGTATTTCCCCTTGAAAACTGAAACAAGATTGGATGGGCACGGTGGCTCACACCTGTAATCCCAGCGCTTTGGGAGGCTGAGGCGGGCAGATCACCTGAGGTCAGGAGTTCAAGACCATACCAACCAACCAAGTAAGCAACAACAAAATGGTGGTATATATTTACAATGGAATACTATTTCACCATTAAAATAAATAAATAAAATTGGCCAGGTGTGGTGGCTCGTGCCTGTAATTCCAGCACTTTGGGAGACAGAGATGGATGGATCACCTCAGGTCAGGAGATCTAGACCAGCCTGGCCAACATGGCAAAACCCCGTCTCTACTAAAAATACAAAAGATTAGCCGAGCATGGTGGCGGCTAACTATAATCCCAGCTACTGGGGAGGCTGAGGCAGGAGAATCACTTGAACCTGGGAGGTGGAGGTGGCAGTGAGCCAAGATCACACCATTGCACTCCAGCCTGGGTGACAAGAGTGAGACTTCGTATCAAAAAAAAAAAAAAAAAAAAGAAAAGAAAGAAAACTGGATCAAGACAAGGATGTACTCTCTCACCACTCCAATTCAACATAGTACTGGAAGTCTTAGCCAGAGCAGTCAGGCATGAGAGAGAAATAAAAGGCATTCAAACAGGAAAAGAGGAAGTTAAATTATCTCCCTTTGCTGACAATATTAGTCTATACCTAGAAAACTCTAAGGGATCTGCCAATAGAATTCTAGACCTGATCAATTACTTTGGTAAAGTTTTGGGATACAAAATCAATGTACAAAACTTATTATCATTTCTATTCATTAGTAACATGCAAGCCAAGAGCCAAATCCAGAATGCAATTTCATTTACAATAATTACAAAAAAGAAAAAGAAACAAAAGTAGGAATACAGCTAACCAAGGATGTGAAAAACCATGTCCTTTGCAGTAACTCGAATGCATCTAGAAGCCATTATTCCAAGGTAATTAATGCAGAAAGAGAAAACCAAATACCAATATGTTCTCACTTATAAATGGGAACTTAAAATTGGGTACACATGGACAAAAAGATGGTAAGAATAGACACTGGGGACTCCCAAAGCAGGTAGGTGGGAGAAAAGGAAGAGATGAAAAACTTCCTATTGGGTATTACGGGGTCAATAGGAGACCAAACCACAGCATCATGCAATGTACCCTTATACCAAAGCTGCACACATACTTGCACATATAAAATTATAATTTGAATTTTAAAAAAAAGAGAGAAAAATTGAAATTAGTGATATTCCGCTGGACAACTACCAGAAATCACTAGATGTCTGTTTCCTTTGACTCATTCTATGACATTGACATTTTAACTCAGGTAATTAATGCCTAAAGAAATTTAATAAATTTACATTTGTGCAGTTGTTTAGTTTTTACCTGAATTTGTTTATCAATTGTGATGACATATAAGGAATATTTTTTTTCTGTTTTGTTCTGTAGTCATTTCTCTGATGCAAATGTCTTTCTCTTACAGTATCCTTTTTAATATAGTGAAAAATGTGCAGGCAGTCATCACGAGCTCTAGGGAATTTACTTTTCTGTATACATTTTGTTGAAAGATGGTAAAAAATAACTGCTCAGTAGAGCCAAATACTTATTTCATATTTCAGTTCAATCAGAATCAGAGGAAAATGACAATGTAATTTTCTAATTTTGTTTTCTGAGAACATCTTTTATTTCATTACTTTTACCTAATGAGCTGAAATTAATAAATTATCTAATAAAATTATTTACTGCTTTATATAAAAAAGAGCATTATATATTGTTACATACTTTAGTAAATTAATTACATATTTAACCTATATTTACAGTTTTCTTTTTATAATATCGCAATGATAGAATACATGCAGACTTTTTAAATGGTTCAGAAAAATGTGTCAATAATACAATGACTATTGTTATATTTGCATAGATATTTTACATATTTGCATTAAATTTTCATTGCATATGTCTATTCAGAATGTCGAGTGAATGAGTTTTTTTATTACAATATGTGTTTATTGAATTAATCACTTGCTATGCTTCCTGAGTTTGTTTAATGGAAAGAGGTAAAGGTAGTTTCAATTGATTTTAAAGTCTTAAAAACTAATCAAAAGGCATACTTTTAAATTTTCCTGGTTATATATAGAAAATTTATCAATATTATACTAAGCAACAAGAAAATTATAAAGATTATGTCATATTTATATTTATTATATGGAAGGAATATTTTTAGTTTAGAGAAGGTAAGTAAATAGCACAGGGTTACATGATTTCTCAGTGATTTGACTGGAATTTTAATGCAAGTAGTCCATTTGGACTTCCCTGAAAGAGTATATCCATGTTTAAGAGTATATCCATGTATTTATCTTATTATTAAAAATAACCCCTTTTAAAATAATGAATGAAGATCATTATAAACAAAAGTGCTTATAATTATTTGAACCAACTACAAAGAGTAATCTAATTTAAATCTAGTTCTGAATATTAGTAAAAAATGTTAAAACTGTTTAAACAGTTTTTATAATTTTATACTTCTTTTGATTTTTAATATTTTTATCTTTACAATTATAGATGAGTTTTATATTTTTATGCCTTAATTGAGAAACTACCCAAAGTACCTTCCACTTTTCATTCTAAACTATTTTGGCAGGAATTGTGGAAGAAGAATAATAGGGAAAGAATGGGTCAGCCTGAAAGTGTTACATAAGTATCTGACCTGATTCAAGAGAAGTTACAGAAAAAAGGGAAAACTCGGGGCATCTTATTACCATCACTTTTCCCAACACAAGAAAATACATGTATGCCAACAACTTCCTGAGTTTTTATGAAGCCAAGTCTGTTTTCAGGGAAGGAAGCAAAGTACTAACTAAAACACATTTAGAATTTAGTAATCTTACAAAAATTACTGCCACAGAAGAAAAAAGTTCTAATCAAAACACTAATTCAGCCTTCTATGTAATTCATTAAATAAAAGGTTAACTCTAATTTAGACCTGATGATAACACCTACTGACCAAGGCAGGAATATCACTTCAAGCCAAAACCTTTACAAATTCTTTCTTCTCCTCTTTCTTTTCCCCTCTCTCTTCTTCTCTCTTTTTCTTCTCCCTTCTCTTTGTCTTTGTCTTCATCTTTTTCTTCTACTTCCTCTACTCCTCATCCTTCCTCTCCTCCCTCTGCTATTCTTCCTCCTTCTTCTCCTTCTTAACTCAAGGCCATAGTTTGCAAATTTAGAAATTCATTTTTACTTTGCTTCTACTGTCTTAATCGACACAACCTTAAACCATATTCCCTTAAAATAATTTATAGTTTGTAGATTAGCTGCTATGGCTAATAGCAGCTGAAGTTTCCTTTTGGTCATTCCTGAACCTAATTCTCAACTCACAGCACTACTCTGGGTACTTGCCTAAACCTGATGTTTAAAAATAAGCAATGAGATTAAATAGGTTGGTGATTTAAATAATTTGTGTTAAATATATTGCCAGGATACTGAAAAGAGTTTCAGAATATTACTTTATTTTTATATATAATTTATTATCCATTATTTTCACCTTTTCATTATATTGCAAACCTATGTGCAATAAAATGCTTTGCTGTTTTAATGATGTCCTGTGAAAGCTGAATGTAAGAAGAGATTTCTCTTCATTTTATATACTATTTTGTTCACTTGTTATAGATAGTGACTTTCCTTTTCCTTAATCATTATGCTAATTTTTAATGATTTATTGTATTATGTCATTTCATTTTTTTTAATCTGTTTAATATGTTTGCTCTGCAGGATGGAGAATGAATCCATGTTGCTCTTAGGCTATTCTTAATAATAATACATCTCTTTGCCTTTATAATCAAGTCATTCATCTGCATCTAGTATTTAACATTTTCCTCTATCAAAATCAATATCAAGTAATCTGAAATATATATGTTGCTCTTAACACTTACAAAAGTTAGGACTGTTTGAAGAGCACTGTTGGTGTCAAGAAGTTGGTATAGCCAAAGTCCTATACTTCAAATTTAAGTTTCTTAAAAATCTTTCTTAAATAAGTTTTTTATCACCTATTTGACTTTATTCTAAACCATGTTTACTGAGTCAGACAAGAGTTATGAGGAGATTACTATAAAGCTGATGCGGTAAGCCAGGATCCATAAACAAATACAGTACTATTTTTAAAGAAATATAGGCTATTTCAGTAAGACTAGGATACATATAGCCAAACCAGCAAGAAAAAATAGTGTATATAGGAAAACATGAAATAATTTAAAGTAATCCAAAGTAATTTATATTTGTGAAAATTGGCATATATATATATATATATAAACTGAAATATACTAGTTCTAGATCTAATATACTATATTAGAGTTGTAGTTGGAATAGCAACTCATATTTGAAATAAATTATATTATATAATAAATATAAGTTGCTATTCCAACTATATCTCTAGTATAAGATCATTGTACCCAGATTACCAAGACATGCACTATAGGCTAATTAATAGCCTATATGTCCACAAATATATTCTAAATATAGCCTCAAATATGTCTGCAATATGATCCTCAGAACCTGTAAATGTTATCTCATATTCCAAAAGGGACTACCTTGCAAATAAAATTAGTTAGGGATTTTTAATAAGGATACTTTGCTTGATTATATAGTTCTCCTTGACGTAATTGCAACAATCATTATAACAAGAGAAGTCACATTTAGGAGAAATCAAGGTGGTTACAGAAGCAAGAGTTTGGAGTGATGTACATTGAATACTGAAAAAGAGATAACAGACAAAATTATATGCACCCACATTTTATTTTCCTGAAAAAGACAAGGAAACTGATTCTCCTCTCATAGCCTTCAGAAGGAACTAGCCTTACTAACATTGAATTCAGTCTAGTAAAATCGATTTTGGATTTCTATCTTCTCTGTAAGATAATAAAATTATTTTTAAGTCAAGTCTGTGGTAATTTCTGATAGTAGCCATAGAGAACTAATACAACATGTATTCAATTTTTTCCTAATTTATGGTAAATGCATTTTAACATATTTTTTGAACTATTTTGGTAAAATATTTGATATAGCAATACTGAATAAAGTGACTTTTGAAGTAATTTTTATTATAATTTTATACATGCTTCCAACTACAACCAGTGTTTACTGTGTTATCTTCAGATAACTGAGAATATGTCTTGTTTTTAAAATTCTAATTATTTAACAATTGTTTGGAATTTCAGAAAACAAACATTGCTCTATTAGAATGTCAAATAAGTTTTATAAAATAAGTAGATATTCTGTAACTACAAAAATTATACCTATAATTAAAACTCAATTACAGAATTTAGTAGCATATGAGATACAACAAAGAGAGCATAGGCAATACGGACGATTGGTAAGAAGGAGTTTTACTGAAAGTATTAGAGAGAAACAAAACTGTAGACAATTCCAAAGAGGGGAAAGAGATATAGAAAGAATAGAGTAAAAAGATCAAGCACATTTGTATGTCACTATCAGAAGGTGAGGAAAGCAAATAGATTGAAAGCAATAGTTTAGGAGATCATTATGGAGAATTGTTGAAATTGAATAAATAATGAGACATAGATACAAAAACAACAAAAAAAGTACAAACAAAACCTAAACCGAAACAAAATTGTCCAAACTGAAGAGATAATGAGCCATAGCTATAAAAAAACCAAAACAAACATTTAAAAAGACAAAAAAAACCACAAAAAACTATGAACCCCAAGTAGGAATCCTTAATCCAACTCTCGAATAAAATCAATGTACTCAACTCATTAAATATTTTATATAAACGTTCTTATTTATAAAATCAGTATTTGACAAATTAACTTCTAGAACTATTTCGGGTAACAATTTTATAATATCTGTCTTGAGTAACATATTTTTGTGGTAATCTTCATCACCAATATTATACGTTGACTTCTGTTTCTAGATTTAATCTTGATACACTTTAAAAAATCGGCAAAATACATAAAGCAACAATTTCATGGACATCAGACAATGATTATTAGTTATCCTTGAGATGCAGGAAACAAATGAGCTATACGATTGTACAACCTAACATCCATGAAAGAGTTTCAAGCCAAGGTGCAAGAATGGGAAACTCAGACAGAACTAGCTGGATTCCCTGAGATGAGGAGATAGAATGGAGAATTTGAGTTCAGGGTGCATAGGAATCACAGGGCAGAGTACTCATGAAGGGAGAGAACCTCAGACAGCTAGAGATCTACTGATATAAAAGAACGATGCTGATATAAACCGTATCCTGAGCTTACACGGGAATAGGAATAGTGCCTGTTACCACCAACCACACTGGAAACCTAATTCAGAGGCACAATATTCAGAAAGATCTTGCCTTACTAGTAGGGAATAATTAAGTCTAGAACAAACACTGCCTGATCTTGTTTACAAAACCTAGATCTAAAAACATCAAACTCTTTTCATGTTTTCTTAGCTAAATCTCAGAACAAAACTCAAGAACAGAAAAATAAATAAATTATTTAGTATTCACTAATATAAAATTTAAAATAATAAGATTCAGTGAAAAATTACCAGGAAGCCAAAAAATACATATCCATAATGAGGAGAAAAAGCAATCATTTGAAACCAATCCAGAAGTGACACCAATGTTAAAATTATCAGATAAGTACAGTAAGATTGTTACTATAACTGAATTTCATATGCTGATAAAGCTAGAGGAAAGGTCGAACATGTTAAATATAGAAACAGAAGGTATAAAATATGTCTCAAGTCATATTTTAGAGATAAAAGTTGTAATGTCTGGAAACACTGGATAAGATTTACAATCAATTAAACTTTCCTAAAGAAAAGCTTGTGAACTTAGAGATATAATAGAAATTACCCAGAATGAAACTCAGAGAAAAAAAAAGACACTCCTCAAAAAGAATTTTAACAGAGTTCCAATGGTCTCTGAAACAATGCCAAGAAGCCTAATACACTTATGTAATTGAGTACCTAAAAGAGTGTAAAGGGAAAAAAAAAAAAAAAAAAAGAAGAAGCGGGGGAAGTGGGGGTGGAAGAATCATACTTAAGTAACTTTTTTCAAATTTGATTAAAACTATAAGTCCACAGATCTAACAATTTCCACAATGTTAAGCATAAGAAACATGAATTAAATGACTCTAGTTCACATTCTATCATAATAAAATTGCCACAAATCACTGATAAAGAGAAAATCCTAAAAGCAGCTATAAAAAAATGTTATGTATAAAAGAAGATAGCAGCAGATTTCTTTTCAGAAACAATGAAAGTGGGAAGATAATGACACATCTTTAAAATATTGAAGGAAAATAACTTAGAGTATGTCTAGTAAATAATATATTTCAAAAATGACAAAATACAAAATCAATTTTTAGCAAACTTTCAGAAAAACATTTTATTACGATACCATGCTGTATATGTGGACTGATCTAAAGAGCTTTCAAGTTTCTCATAATGCTCTGAAGATTGAGACTGTGATTGATTTTTAATGTATATATTACGTAGAGTAAAATTCACAAATCTTGATTATACAGATTGATGAATTTGTGAATTTTACTATACATAATTGTATAGTAAATGGATTTTACAAAGTGGATAAGAATGAATCCATATTATATGTGGATGATTATGTATGTACAATATATACACATATCTATCAAATATATCCATATATACACATATATAATATATATCAAATATGTTCACATATATTTATATATGATATAATAAAATATAATAATAGATCAAGATATGGCATATCCCCAGTAACATGGATGGCTGCTTCATTTACTTTCTTACTTAGTGTCTCCTCAAATATAATTACTTTTTAAACTGTTATAACCATGGAATAGCATTGCTTGTGTCTGACTCCACATAAATAGAATCATACAGAACACATTCTTCTGCAACTGCAACTTTAAATAAAATATAATGACTATATGCTTCTTCTTTAGTTTTGTGTACAGAATCATACAGAACACATTCTTCTGCAACTGCAACTTTAAATAAAATATAATGACTATATGCTTCTTCTTTAGTTTTGTGTACATCAATGCTTTTATTGTTTGTAGTATTCCTTTGTAAAAAAAATAACAATAAAACAAAAAATAGAACAATTAAAACATAGTTAACCATTCTAATAATGTATCTCAGATTGTTTCCAGGTTTTGCCTGTTAAGATCATCAGCTAAGAACATTTTCATTCATGTTTGTTGCTAGACGTAAGTACTTCATTTTTTTCATGATATACAAATATATAAGCAGGCTAGTTGGTTCATGAAGTATACTTTTTTTTTAGGTTTTGCAAAAATTTTTTTCATAATTATTACATTGAATTATGTTGTCACTTACAATGTAACAAGGTCCCAGTTGTTCCATGTAATAGCCCATAAATTTATTTTGAACTTTTTTAGACAGAAGAGAAAGCGAGCAAAAGAGAGGAGAGAGAGAGAGAGCAAGAGAGAGCGAGACAGAGCAAGCGAGAGAGAGAGAGAAACTATAGCACCAGATTACAATCTATGAAAGACACAGGGCTCTGTAAAGCTTAAACTAAGATAAGAGAACATATCTGGGAGCTTACACGTACTGTATTAGATACAGTAAAGAATACAGATTTTCTATAAAATAAGATGAGAATTCTACAAACATAGTCTCAGTGTTTCTTACATGTGTTAATGCTCCACCATCCCTATCTCGTCTGCTAGCCAGGACTCTTGGATCCAGATTCTTGCATTTGTCTTTTTCTCACTCTTTGAGCCTCTCCTAGGAATGATCAGATGAATTTTTTTCTTAATAGGTCCTTTTAAATCCCTATGTTTATGCCTTCTCTATAGCAATAATAAATTAAAGGATAAAGAAAATGTGGTACATATACACCATTGAATACCACACAGCTATTTAAAAAATGAGATAATGTCCTTTGCAGCAACATGTTTGGAGCTGGTGGCCATTATCCTAAGTGAAATAACATAGGAACGGAAAACCAAATTGCACATGCTCTCACTTAAAAGGGGGAGCCAAACATCGAGTACACACGGACACAAAGAAGGAAACAAGAGACACTGGGGCCTATTACATGGTGGGGGATGGGAGAAGGGTGAGGATAGAAAAACTACCTATTGAGTGTTATGCTGATTACCTAAATGACAAAATGTCCCGTACACCAAAGCCCCACGACATGCAATTTGCCCATGTGGAAAATTGCACGTGTACCTCTTGAACCTAAAATAAATTTGGAAGGAAAAAAAAATGCTGTTAAGTTCCTAAAAAAGGAAAAATTATTTCTAAATATACATCAACTATGAATTTTCAACTAAACATACTTCTAACTTTATATCACTAAAAACAAAAGTAAATATAAGAATAATTACCAAAAATTTACTTGCAAATAAAATTATATAGATTCCTTTTAAGTAAAGACATTTTTCATAGATCAGCAATTTAGTAGGTTTAATACCAAGCACAATTGAGATTCTCTCTAAAATAATATTTCAAATTGTTTGTTTATTTACTATTTTTTTTTATCCATCCTCCCACCATTATGTGTGGGCACCAGAACAGCAGGGGCTAAACTAGTAAAAACGATTTTCAACTAGAGTAAATTAATAAAATTATTTTAATTAATTTATTTATTTCTGAGACAGTCTCACTGTCTTGCTCAGCCTGGAGTGGAATGGTGCAATCATGACTTACTGCATCCTCAACCTCCTGGACTCAAGTGATCCTCCAGCCTCAGCCTCCCAAAGTGCTACGATTACAGATGTGAGCCACTGTGACCAGCCTATTTTAATTTATGAATGCATTAATAAATATGAAGAAATGAGTCACCAACTATTGCACTCTTAAAACTATACAATTTTCCCCTTTTATCTTCTTGTATTTGATAATGTTGATGACTTCCTTAACTCAGTGAACTTTCAATATTCCATACTTCTAAGCATTCGAGTAGGTTCAGTCTTTAACCCTCCATTAACATTTATTTATAATAAATTTCATAGAGTGCTTATCCAAAAAGTAAGCTCATCATTTTTACTCCATGTTTTCTGTTTGTTTCTCTTTCCTTGCTCACCACATTAAAACCTTAAATATGCCAATTAGCTTTGTCCTCCACGATTTATTTTCAGTTGACAGTTTTCACCTCTATAGCCAATATCCTTGGCAACAGTAATCTTCTTATGCCTGGACAATCACATTTGAATTCTTTGTAGTATTTCTGCTGCTGTTCCTTTTTTTTTAGTATAGTCCGTGCAGAGCAGAATTTCTCAAGTACACAAATATTACCAAATGCTACATTTCTCAACTTAAGAGACTTATAATTTTGATTGTAAAAGTTTAAGCTCTCTATAGTCTTCTTTCATTGTCTGGATTTCCTCACATATTTTTCCACTCTTATTTTGGTTTTGTTTAATAGACCAGATATTTCAGTCAATTCATTTTATTGATATTCTTTCAAGAAATCTTATTCATTCAATTTTTCCATATCCAAAGCTTTCTCTTATTTTTTTTTGTTTGTCGTTCCTTTACAACCTGTGGTGCTTATCCAGCCCTTTGAATTTGTTCTGTGACCATCTCTGCTGTACTCTCTTCCCAAGAAACTGATCTCTAGAGGGGTTTCAAGTGGCACATCTTGTCCCCAGCAAAATGAAGCACTGGCAAAATTTTCATCTCTCCCACACTGTCTCTGCCAGGCTGCTGTTTGGGCATTGGTGGTGTTCTTCTCCTCACAGACACAACTCATTTCTGGAGACCGTTCCCTCACAAATACAGATTTTGTCAATTCGTAATACTTCTCCCTCCTATTGTACATAACAGTGAGGGTAACTTCTCACTATTCTTAGTCCCTTGGTTGTTTCTTGATATTTGCTGCCAACTATTTCTGGAGACATCATGATCCGAATCAAAGCTTACCTTCTTAATATACTAATTTGTTACTCCTTTAAAAAATGATGATGTCCTCTTGTCAGTCTGTGTCTATGTATTTTATAACAATTTACTATTCCGTCATTTAGAGCTGACCCTTATTTCACACACCACACAGAAACCAATGTCAGGGAACTATAGAATACAATGAAGATAAAACAGGAGAACAGTTTCTTCGTGCTTAGATAGCACTACACTGGAGTGTTTTGCCTGTTGCTACATTGGAGTGGTAGGATTTAGGATGGTAGCTGCCTTTGGGATGGGCAGTGTGATTTGGGATTGGGAAGTGTTCTGGTATGCTAGTAGTGTTCTAGTTCATCATCTGGCGATTGCACGTGTCTCAGCATAAAAATGAATGCATTTTAATGTTTAAAAAGATTTGATAAATAACTAATGCCACTTCTTTAACTGATAAGGTTTATGTTATTTCACTCTTTGTTCTTTTGATGAGTAAACCGAAGAATAATTGCAAAAATGAAATACATACCAGCTAACCTGAGACAAACATTCAGATAGAATAAGATTTAGGTGATATAAAATTAATGACTTCATATTACTAAAATGTCTCATGGAGAGTCAGATCCTCTACTTTTTGTCCAGCTGTCTATTCTGAAACCAATGCAAAAAAAATGTTGGCCCCTTAACCAACACCACTGGCAAAACATTTGATATGTAGGTCTTTTCTGTTCACCTTATATACATTCACCTCTCAAAAAAAATTTTTTTGGTGGGGTGGGTAGAGGAAATTAGTAATCCAGCAAAAAATACTAAAAATAAAACTCAGGCTCTGAAAGAAAAGGACAAAACAAATAAAGACATATAAGCAAACAAAAACCATCTTTTTGTAGAAAGTACAGTTTTATTAATTTTTACCTAGTGTCATTATTTATTTTTTCCCTATTTTTTCCAATTTAAACACAAACAGCCCAGTCTATTTTACTGAGATCGGCCTTCAGCAGAAAAATCTCGCCAATGTATTTCCATCTGTAGTTACATATGCTTTCAGACTTCTTTCTTTCAGGTGACAGAAGGTTAATATATGCTGCTTTAAAAAAAAATGCCTTAATTTTGTTTCATTTTTACTGAAGACAAGCAGATAAACACCTATAGCCAGATCTCTGCCTGCAGGCATGAATATGCTTTAAGAGAAAATCTTTTAAGTTATGCAAGATGCTTTTAGAAGGAATTCTTTAGTATGTTAGCTAATTGCAACCTAGCGCTAGAAAAAAAAAATGTTTACTTGGAATATTCTTGGAGTTTTTCCAACTTATTTACTGTATTGCAGTCTGTTGCTCACATCTTCTGGAGATAAAGAAATAAATACAACATTTTTTAAAAGGCCTATTGTAAGATTTTATTGAAAATATTTTCTCTTTGCTGTAAATCTTAATTGCTAGTTGGTATTATAAATAGGAATTTTTCCTTTAGTCTTATGCAATCTGTTAAAAATGATAAAAAGTAACTACAGAACACTTATTACAGAATTTTTTTAAAAAAATGATACTGAAGGGGAAAATATTTATACAAAGAATACAGCAACTTATTTTGACTATTTTATGACAAACCACAGGAAAATAGAGTTTTATCATTAGTCTAAATATTATTGTTATCAAGACTTATAATTGTTATTAAACAATTCAATTGATGAAAACAACAGAAAAACTAGAGGTAAGTTAAAACATGTATTTTACATTTAAAAATTACAAATGTACTTATGATACCTCAATTATTTGATGATTAGCAAAAAATATAAGATTTTACATTATAAAAATGTGTTTTAATATTATTGTTCTATTCAGAAAATAACTCTGATTCATGTTCTCTGATGCCTAATTTCAGTTTGACTTACAATGGATTAAAAAATACACATATTTTGGTTACTTTTCTACTTGAATATGACTCTCATTTTTGATAACTTAAATTGGCTTAAGTTCTCTTTGTAATTCAACATTTTGAAAAAGCTACTCATATCAAGAATAAGAATGTTCTAATACTCTCTCGTGGCATTCTATTTTTACCTAAATTGTTGATACCATCTTAAAAAGGTTACTGGCATTACCAGTCTCAGAATCAGAAAATTTTCTCTGACTCAGAACGATGTGATTACTAGGGTATGCTCATGGGAAAATAATTTCCCTTATTACTGAAGCAAACTGTTAACATATGTTTAGCTTTCATTAATCTTCCATGTACCAATGACAAGTTGGGAGCATTTTAACTGTGTCTGGGGCACACAATTATGATGTGAATTGCAAGGATAAGAGGTCACAAAAGCCCATAAGTTAAAGGAATGACTAAGGTCTTCTTTTGTAATCAGTGATCTCAAAATAAAAGACCTCTCAGTAAGTCTGTTTGAATGCTAAGTGCTAAACTCTAAATATTATTGTGCTGTTCTTTTGTTTCTGTTTTAAATGGAGAGTAGGTGGGAAGTACTGGTTAATTTCATAAGTACTCACCAGGGAATTTTGTATGAAAATATGATTCCCTAGATAAGGAAGTCTTGACCATAAACCACCTGGATGGTGAGATGAGGTCAGCACTAGTAGAATTAGTAGTGGACTCAGGCAGCTCAAACTAAAACCATCTGCTCTAAGCATAATTGATGTAATTCATTCACTTTTTCCATGTTTTTTGTTTGTTTGTTTGTTTGTTTTGTACTCATTAAACACGATAAACGTTCAGCCAAGGAATAAGGGAAAAATGCACTTTGGAGGCATGGAGAAGAGTTAGTCAAGATCCTTCAAATAAGATGATAGCAAAGAAATGAAAGTTACAACAGTAGATGTATATGTTCTTTAGAAGCCCAGTGGACATACTTCCCCAAGTGCCCCACAAAACAATAAGTAGTTGTTAATCAAGGAAATGTCTGTGCACCAAATGTGTCGTATTATCATGAACTATTACGAATGTGGTGATCCAGTGAATTTGCAGAAAGATTGTGCTATGAAAAAATGATACTTAAAATCAGAAACTAGAGGACTGTGGGCAGTACTGAGAATTAACAAACAGAAACCCCCGCGCCAAAAAAACCCAAACAAACAGGGAAGCTTGAAACCAAATCCCTCCTTGCCATGCTTTAAAATAGACCATCTGTCATAACAGTTCAAGGTGGCATGAAAGAGGTCAAATCAAAGGGATATGTATTTCAGCAATCCTCAGGAATGGAGTAACCACAGACTATTTTAGCTCAACCTGTGGCAAATAATTGAACCCACTGCATCTCCAAAGATTAGAGTATTGTACTATGGCGAATTCAGATATAGAACCCGTGTACCCATTAATATGAATATATTGGGATATTCCAGAGGAATTTTAAGAGTCAAGAAGAAGGCAGGTATATGCCCAAAGCTAGGCAGTATGCAGAAAATAACAGTAATAACAAGAATAAATTCTAATCTTTTTAAAGTTCTAGGATACTGGTGCCTACTACCAGAATACACCACATACCTAGTTGCTCAACAATTTCAGAGAACACCATAAACAGGTTTAAGGAGTTACAATGGAAGACATGGAGCAACAGGACGGAATAAGTGTGTGTGTGTGTGTGTGTGTGTGTGTGTGTGTGTGGGGAGGGAGAATTATAGAGTGCAGTAAATAAATGCTGAACTGGTACTATATGACTTTTGATGAATGACATAGACAGGTAGAAAAGGCTTGATGGAATTCAAGGCAGAAGATGATGGTTTTGACATAAATGGAAGCCAATCCTTGTAAACACTTTTCAGAATCTCTTCTCGACCTTAGTGATGGAGGTATATGCATGGTAGGGAACAGAGTTAGTTTGAAATTACTACTCTTTTCATTCCCCTTACCTCTAATAGGCAGAAAATTATGGAAACTTTCTTTTATTAAGGTACATATTTTTTTTAGTCTACTTCAGGACAACTTTCACATTCACTGAGCTCTCATATACCAAGATTCCAGATTTTTCACTGGGCAACAGAAGAAGGGCTAATGATTTTAATTCATGCTAAATTATAAATATTCTGACAATTTATTTTATATGAAGAAGAAATGTAAAATCTACATGCTGAGGATAGAGGAATAACCTTCTTTAATATTCTCAAGGAATATATGGTCTATTATGGAGAGTAAGAAGAATAAACACGTACAAAATATTTACAAGACAAGTAGTACAGAAAAATATAATACTCATATATTCATCAGAATTATAAGGAGAGTCCTATTAAAATTACACATATATCAGCACAAATATAACAGAAAGTTCAACAGCCATGAGCCCTGGAAATCTCTATTCTTTTACAAATTTACCAGATGCTATGGTCTGAATGTGTCCTCAATGTGTTGGAAATTTAATCACCAAAGCAACACTGTTGCAAGGTGGAGCCTTTTGGGAGATGTTTAGGTCACAAAGGCTCCAACCTCATAAACAGATTTATGCCATTATAAAAGGGCTTGATAAAGAGAGTTTGGCTTCTTTTCCCCCTTTCATTCTTTCCACCACATAAGGATACAGCATTCCTCCCCACCAGAGAATGCAGCATTATGGCACTATCTTTGAAGCAGACAGCAGCATCACCAGAGAGCTGAACCTCACAGTAACTTGATCTTGGACTATATAGCTCCAGAGAAATAAATTTCTGTTCTTTATAAATTACCCAGTCTATGGTATTATGTTATAGCAACACGAACGGACTAAGACAGCAGGTAATTCTTTTTCAGTTATTAGTATCACAATTTTTCAAAAGATATTTAGGAATTAAGAGTCTATATGGTTTTCAAAGTAATTTTCATAACAAGGACATTTAAAATTTGCTACCCCACTACTAAAGGTCTTTCGGTGGTCCTCCACTTCCTTCAGAATGATATAAAATACATATAACATGATTTTTGTATGCTTAAATAAAAACCCCTGGGTATATACTTGTCCACCTACATTGATACACCGTCTATGTTAACAGCTCCAGAGATCCTACAGAATTTTGTGCTTTCCAAAATGTATTGTGCTACTTTCATCTCCATAAATTAATGAATAGTTCTTGCTCACTAAAACGACCAAAATAGTATTTTTTTTTAACTTTCAGTTAGACATAAAGAGCTTGTAAGTTACCACTCCAGTCCGCACAGTAAGAGAAAAGCTGAACAAATTGAAAATCAACAACTCTCCTTTGATCCATCAGATAATTGATGCCACAGGAGCAAACTTTTTCTCTCTAATCTCACAGAATTCTCACAAAATACTCGTAAAAACACTAGGTATCTTTTTAGCCTTTGACACCACAGCTACCTAATCCCTAGCCAGATAAATATAAAATATCAAATTAAAGGCCTGTTTACCTGAGTTCCTTTTACCTGGCATCTGGCTTTCAACAAAAACTTACTGATACGGCTCCGATGAGTGGAGGAACACCAAGGTTCTTGGTCCTCATGCCAGCTTAGACAAAACGACACGGACATACGTGGAGCGGTTTTAAGGAGCCCAGAGTTTAGTAGGCAAGATAGAAGTGGGAAGAACAAAGGAAGAAGCTCCCCTGTACAGAGACAGAGGCAGGGGGTCTCCAAAGCACAGAGCGGGAACCCCACCTGCCATGGATATGAGCCAGGTATATGTAGAGGCTGGAGGAGGTGGTGTTTGATTTGCATAGGGCTCAGGAGATTGGTTTGACCAGGCATGTCATTCATGTAGCCCGCGAAAAAACTGGCCTTCCAACCCTAGCCTTATAATATGCAAATGCACGGCGCCATGAAGTTCTACACACTGGGGTTTTGTGGGGGCTGCCATGTCGCCAGGCACATGTGGGGCAAGGACAAGAAGAAGAAGGTGGGAATCACCATGTTTGGGTGGACCCAGTTTCTAATGGCTGGCATTTGCATATCAAAGGTTGCCCGCCTGGCTCTAAGAGCCAGGGCTTTACAAAAAACTTTTCCAGAGATGCTTTAAAAAAATGAAAACTTCCCAAGGACTCCTTTTCCCCTATTTACCTACAACAATTTCTTAATAACTACAATAACATTACAAGGCATGTTAAAAGGCAGTATCAGGGCCAGAAGAAAATTTCCACTTTGCCCTCTGAAGATTTACTGAAAATCAACTCACAAAGGGCAGATTAATAGAAAAAGAGGCATGCAAAATGTATTAACATACACGTGTGTGTAGGAGTTAAAACACAAAAACTCAAAAGAGGGGGGCTACATGGTTGACACTTTTATACTATCTTGAGGTTAAAAATAAGGGCATGGTGCTCAGCAAGGCAGGTTATGGGAGGGAGAGAAGAGAAAAGGCATGGCTAGCAAAGGTGGTCTTGTTATGCAGATAAAGTCTTACAGGTAGCAGCCCTTAGAAAAGAAGGTAGCCTGTGGTTGAATTAATTTATCTGAGATCTGAACAAAGGCGAGATCTCAGAGAAAGTCTTGTTGTTTAAGTCACTGATGTAGACTTTTCTCTACAAATGTAAATATCCTCCACAAAAGGCTGCTTTTCAGGGCTGTTGTTGTCTGTCTACCCTCTGAATAGCTATCTCAAAATATGGCAAGGAAGTGTATTTGGCAATAAAATATTTCTGGTATCCTTTAGCTGAAATCACAGTCTAAAGAGACAATCCAAGCATCAAAACCAGACGTGACTATGAGAGAGTTTGGAATTATCAGACCAGGAATTTTAAATAACTACTATGATTAATGTGCTAAGAGTTCTAAAGAATAAAGTGGACAACATGCAAGAGCAGATAAGTAATGTAAGCAAGAGTTGAAAATGTAGAAATGAATCAAAATAAATGTTAGAAATCAAGAATGCTCTAACAGAAATGATGAATGCCTCATCAGTAGACAATAGAGGAAATCATCAGTAAGCTTTAAGATATGTTAATAGAAACTGCCAAAGTGAAGTTCAAAGAAAAATTATCCACAGGAACATAACATCCAAGACTGTGGGAAAATTACAAAGACATATAATATGTATTATGACAATATCAACAGTAGAAGAAAGAGAGTTAGAAACAATGACAGATGACAAACCAAAGAACCATGAGGCTTAGAGAACACCAAGGAGAATAAATGCCAAAAAATCTACAGCTATGCACATCATAATAAAATGCAGAAATCAAAGATAAAGAGAAAAATCTTAAAAAAATATACATTTCCTATAGAGAAGTAAGAATAAGAATTACATCAGGCTTTTCTTCAGAAAACATATAAGAATGAAGAGAGCAGAGTAAAATATTTAAATAATTAAAATAATAAAACCACAAACCTAGAATTCTGTGTCCAATAAAATTATCTTACAAAATTAGAAGAGACATAAAAACTATCTCAAAGAAAAATCGATCAAATTTGTCACTGGTAGAACTACTTCACAAGAAACATTAAAAGAAGTTCTACAAAGAGAAAGAAAATAATATACATCAGAAACTTAAAACTACATTTGTAAAAAAAAATAAGCTTTAAAAAGAAATAAAGATAAAATAAAGCCTTTTATTTTTCTGATGCTTAATTAATCTAAATGATAAGAGTTCATTGAAAAATAATAATCACCATTATAGCTTATGGATAAGTGAAATAAATGACAAGGTCTTACGAGCTGGGAGGGAGGAATTTGGTATAATCCATAATAAGGCACTTGCACTACCTGTGAAGTGGTATCATGTTATTTAAAAGTGAACTTGGATTAATCACAATGTATATTGCAAATACTAGGGCAACCATTATATATTTTTAAAATAAATATGATAGATATACTAAATAGATAATAAAGAAATAATGATCAATTCTATGCTCACAAATTTGATAAGCTAGCTAGATAAAATTGACCAATTCCTTGAAAGACACAATCTACCAAAACTCACGCAAGGAGAAATAGGTAATCTGAATAGGCTTGTACTTGTTAAGGTAATGGAATCAATAATTAACACTTTCCAAAGTAGAAAGCATCAGGACCAAGTTGTTTTACTGGTAAATTCTACTAAACATTTAAGAAGTAAATGACATTAATTAGATTATCTACAATCTGTTTCAAAAAATAGAAACAAAGGGCACACATTTTAACCCATTCTATGATGCCACATTGCCCTAACCAAAACCAGACAAAGAAATATGAAAGGGAAACTGCAGACTAACATCTATCATAAACATAGATGCAAAAACCCTCAATGAAATATTAGAAAACCAAATCCAATAATGAATAAAAATAATTATACACCATAAGCAACTTGAATTTATTACAGCTATGCAAGCCTGGTTCAGTATTTGAAAATTAATTAATGTAATTCATCACATCAACAGCTAAGGAGAAAAATCACATGATTGAGAGGTGAAGCCAGCTGGGCTTCTGGGTCCCCTGGGGACTTGGAGAACTTTTCCCTCTAGCTAAAGGATTGTAACAGCACCAATCAGCACTCTGTAAAATGGACCAATCAGCACCCTGTAAAATGGACCAGTCAGCATTTGGTAAAATGGACCAATAAGTGCTCTGTAAAATGGACCAATCAGCAGGATGTGGGCGGGGCCAAATAAGGGAATAAAAGCTAGCCACCCAAGCTAGCAGGGCAACTTGCTCAGGTGAGTCACGTGCTGTGGATGCTTTGGTTCTTTTGCTCTTCACAATAAATCTTGCTGCTGCTAACTGGGTTTGCACCACTTTTAAGAGCTGTAACACTTGCTGTAAAGGTCTGCGTTCACTCCTGAAGTCAGCAAGACCACGAACCCACCAGAAGGAACAAACTCAGGACACATCTGACACACCATCTTTAAGAGCTGTAACACGCACCGCAAAGGTCCACAGATTAATTCGTGAAGTCAGTGAGACCAAGAACCCACTGGAAGGAATAAATTCCGGACACGAGATTACCTAAAGAGATTTGACAAAATCTAACAGCCATTCAGGATTTTTAAAAAATCAGCAAACTGGAAATACAGTGGAATTTTGTCAACTTTAGATAAAGGACGTCTGCAATAAACTAACAGATGGCATCATACTTAATGATGAGAAACTAGAGGCTTTCCCTCTAAATCAGAAAAAAGGATGCAAGTGTCTGTCTTCTCACAGCTCCTATTCAACATTGCATTGGAAGCTCTAGATAAAGCAATAAAATAAGAAAATAGAATAAAATATACAGATTAGAAAGGAAAAAATAAAACTGGCTTATTTTTTGCCAGTTTTATTATTGACATGATCGTCCATGTAGAAAATCCCCAAAATCAAAAACAAACAAATGTAAAAATACTCTTACAACTGGTAAGTGATTATAGTAAGGTTTCAGGACAGAACGTCAATATGCAAAAGTCAATTGCTTTCTTATATATTGGCGATACAAAATTAGATGTGCAGTTAAAGACACAGCACCATTTACATTAGCATCAGAACCATTGGAATATTTAGGTATAAAGTTAGCAAAAATATATTACTGCTGTATGAGGAAAACTACAAAACTCTGATGAAAGAAATTGAAGGTCTAAATAATTGTAGAGAGTCTGTATTTGCGAATACAAATTACTCAACATTGTAAATATGTCAATTTTTCCAACTTGAACTACAGATTCAAAGAAATCTTAATCAAAATCTCATCAAATTACTGTGGAAACAAACTGATTCTAAAATTAGTATGAAAAGGCACAAGATCTAGAATAGGTAACTTTGAAGAAGAACAACGTCAGAGGACTCCCACTACCTGGTTACAAGTTTACTGTATAGTAACAGCACTCAAGACAGTGTAGTATTTGCAAAATAATAAGCACACCAATCCAAGCTGATAGAGTCCAAAAATAGACCCACACAAATGTAATAAATTGATATTTGACTCAATAGTAAAGCAATCCAATGGGGTAAGGTTAGTGTTTTCAACAAATGGTGCTGGAAAAACTGAATATCCACATACAAAAAAAATTAAATAATGACTTTGGACACTGACCTTACATACTGTCAAAAATTAAAGTGGATCCCAGACCTAAGTATAAGGTATAAAAGTATAAAACTTCTAGATGATACCAGGCCAAAATCGAGGTGACCTTATATGTGACAATGAGTATTTAGATACACCACCAAATGCACAGTTCAGGAAAAAAATAAGTTGGACTTCATTACAATTAAATATGTCTGCACTTGAATGACAATGATAAGAAAATTAAAACACAAGCCGCAGCCTTAAAAGAAATATTTGTAAAACATACTAATAAAGGAAAGGTGCTCAAAATACACAAAGTATTGTTAAAAGTCATGAATGAGGAAACAAATGACACAATCAAAAAGTGCACAAAAGGGCTCAACAGACACCTCATCAAAGAAGATGTACAGATGGCAAATAAGCATATAAAAATGCTCAGTATTTTATGTAATTAGGAAAATGCAAGTTAAAACAGCAATGGAATATTACTACATACCTACTAGAATGGTGAAAATCAAAACATTGACAACAAATGCTGGTGAGTATATGCAGCCACAGGAAGTTGTATTCATTGCTGATGAAAATGGAAAATGATATCAAAATTTCACAAGACACTTTGGCAGTTTCTTAAAATGCCAAGTAGTTTTACCATATGAGCCAGCAATTGCACTTTTAGGTATGTAATACCCAAAGGAGTCAAAAACATATATCTACACAAAAACCTGAACAATAATTTTCAGTTACTCATCATTATTAAAAATTGGGAATAATCAAGCAATTCTTCAATAGGTGAGTGGATGAACAAACATTCATAAAATACATTCATACAATGGAAAAATATTCAGCAATAAAAATAAGTGAGCTATCATGCACAAAATATGGCTAAGTGAAAATAGCCAGCCTGAAATGACTATATTCTTTGTGATTCCAACTATATGACAGTCTTAAAAAGGCATAACTATTGAGACAGTAAAAAGATCAGTGCTTCCCAGGAGTTGTGGGGGAGGGAGGATTTTCTGGGCAAAAAAACTCTTCTGTGTGGATCTCTGATCCTGGATACAAGAATGCATTTAGCAAAACCCACAGACTTTTACAACACAAAGGGTGAATGCTAAAGTAATCTATGCATATTAATTAATAATAAACTAGTGTTAATAGTTCATCAATTGTTGCAAATGTAATCCATTAATGCAAGATGTTAATAATAGGGAAAACAGCAGTGGGAGAAAAGGGGGACAATATGATAAATCTGTACTTTTTTTTTTTTGTAAACCTGAGCTGCTCTAAAAAATAAAGCTTATTAATTTTTTAAATATGCTATGAATATATATACATTTATGCCAAATGTGTTTTCATCTATTATTAGTTTAATATGAGTAACTATAAATTTGAAATAAGTTGAAAGTAATATTTAAGGGATGCTAAAGGCTATGTAAGCATTTAAAATGTTTGATAGATATTAAACTAGACATTTTAAATTTATTTTCAAACAACATATTTGAGTTGAAATTAAAATATTTTGGCACAATTTTTCTTCTTATTTTTAATAATCTATTAACATTCTATGGATAGATACAGGAATGCAGAACAGGAATCCATTAGAGAATAACATACTGTTTTCTCTATTAAATATATATTAATGACTATTTGTAGCTACAATTATAAAGAAGACTTCTAAATCACTAATTATAAGTTATCCTAATTAACAAATTAGAGGACATTTTGTGGATAATAAGCAAGTTTCAGTAATATTCATACATTTTTGGTAGGTAATTCTGCAAAAATTGAATAATAGGAAAACACACTTATACTTATTGTCAAGTTAGAAAGTTTATCTTTATGGAAATTATTCCCCAATAAAATCTTTGCATATGCAGAAAAAAATGTATTACACAATATGGATATGACTGTATCACTTCCTTTGTAATCGTCCAGATTTTCTTGGTAAAAGTCATAAAATTTTCACAAATTAACAATTTATTATCTTCAATTGTTCCTGTCTTGGAATGATTTATATAAGAGGGAAAAAAGTCTACTTTATCTTGCTTCTATTTAATTTTATGTTTTTCTAAGCAAGTTACTTTTATTGGGTAATAAACTTACTGGCATGTTTCTTTCTAAAAACAATTAATATACACAAGTGAAGAAATAAAAATAAGTGATCAGGTTCAATAATTTATGTAAGAATAGTCAACTTCACAGACTTATAATTTAAATTATAATTTTATAATACATTTTATTTTTATTCAACTAATTTTATTTCAATAAAATAAACTAAATTTATATTTATTCAACTAATTTTATTTTATTCCATTTGTATGTTCAAGACGATCGAATTAGCTCTTATTAACCTTGTTTTAACTAATATTTTAATAATCAACTATAAGAATAAGATGAATGTAAGTCATTTTTTCATGGTTTAGTAATTAAGGTACTTCCAAGTCAAACCTCAGTGTCAGCAGTTGTACAATCCGTGAATGAGAGTAAGAGAATATATTCATTTTCTTTAAGGTTTACTGAAGTGGTTCCACAAGATTGGGGTTGAAAATGCACACCTTAAAATTTAATTTTCCACTGTATGATGATTAGGTACCTAAGAGCTTATGGAGGTTATGTGCATTCATCCTGATGCTCTCAAAAATTACATTCAGGTCTAAAAGTATATTAGGTAGCAATAAACTTGATTTTTAAAAGATGACTATTAACAGTAAGTAAAAATAATAAGGTATGTCATGCAAAACCACACACTATATTTGGCTAATAAATTTTAAGAGTCACTATGGCATGGTAAATTGCTCACTAACAGTCCGTAAATTGGGATTCCATTTGTAACTTGGACACTGAAACTTGGCGTCACCACCATGGGCTAAGCAATTGGGTCCCAAGTTGTTCATCTGTAATGAAAGGTTATATGTTGATCAAATACAACACAGGAGATCAAATTTCAAATCCCCCGAGTTTATTCCTGGAAGGTGAACATTTCAACCTCGGTTTTTTAAAAGATGTCATAAATTTTTAGAAAAAAATGTGACTTTATGAGTGAAAAGAGAAATATCTTTTTTTTCCCCCGGAGTCATTATATTTTCTCTATTCTGAGAAACACCTAGAAATATGTTAAAGTTGAATAACTTGTTTCACCTAGATATGGATTATTGTTTCCACTTACCATCTGATGTGTTTGTCAGCATTTTTTTTTAAATTTTTTTTATTTTTAGTAACTATAAACTTTCTCATAAAGAAAAGGAGATGCTGAGGATAAGAAAAAACTTGAATGAAAGATCACAGAAACAACTAAAGGTAGTTTCTTTACTAAGTTTCTAACAAGGGTAGGATCAGCAAGGTAAATTGATTGGGAAAAAATATATTAGCTAAATAGAATTAGAAGTAATTAATTTTTGATTAAACATAATTAATATTGATTGGTAAAATAGATTCATATTTGATAAGATTGACAACGCTTATTCTATACTTAGGTCAATATTTACCCCATCTAGTAAATACCACTCTTTCCCAATTATTTTCTCAAACCATGAATAACACCCTTTAACATTTCCAAGGTGATGATCTGGATTTTAGTATCTATCAATAGGAGCGGAGACTTTTCTTTCAACATATATCCTTTTTAATAAGCGGAAATGTACATACACACAAATGGTTATCTTATTTTTTCTGTTTGAGAGTCACAGCCTTATTAATACTCCAATAGACCTGGCGCGGTGGCTCATGCCTGTAATCCCAGCACTTTGGGAGGCCGAGGCAGTCGGATCACAAGGTCAGGAGATTGAGACCATCCTGGCTAACACAGTGAAACATTGTCTCTACTAAAAATACCAAAAAAAATAAGCCGGGCTTGGTGGCGGGCCCCTGTGGTCCCAGCTACTCGGGAGGCTGAGGCAGAAGAATGGCGTGAACCCGGGAGGCGGAGCTTGCAGTGAACCGAGGTCGCGTCACTGCACTCCAGCCTGGGCAACAGAGCGAGACTCCTTCTCAAAAAAAAAAAAAAAAAAAAAAAAAAACTCCAATAATATTCTACTTAAGAATATATTCAATGGGATATGTAACATAGAATAAGCTAAAAATAAATTCTCACAATGATATTCATTCATTTTTGTAATCAGTTATTTACTAAATGGTGTCAAGCTGTGTTCTACCCCTGGTGATACACTACTGACCAAAACAGATAAAAAAATTAACACCCTTATGAAGTTGACATTATAATGGAGATGGTCAGCAAACCATAAACACATACTGATAAATTTTATGCAGAATGAAATAGTTCCAGGAAAATGGATCAGATTCATAAGCATGATAGGGTACAGGAGAGATTGTAATTTTAAAAGAGATAGAAAAAAAAATTCCTGGGAAGGTGACATTTAAAAAATGGTTTGGAGGAAGAGTGGGAGTGACCCCCTGGGGCTGTCTGGCAGAGAGCACTTCAGGGTCCAGAAAGAACCAGAGCATAGCCTCAGGAGGGGGAGCAAATGTGCCTGCCTTGCTATAACAGAAAAGGGAAGTGACTACAGCTGGAGTGGAGTGAGCTATAGGAAGAGTAAAGAGAAATAAGATCAGAGGTAATAGGGGTCAGACTACATAGGGCCATGTATGTCATATTTAGAAATGTGTCCTTAACTCAGAGAGAAGTAATGTGTCCTGGTGGATTTTGAGCAGAAAAAAAAAAAGTGTCTTCCATTATATCAGATTTGCTCTGACTGTTCTTTTAAGAATAGACTGGGTGGAGGCATGGGCCCCAGTTAGGATCTATAATATCAATCACAATAGTGTGCTAATGGACCAAACAATTTCTTAACCTCAGCGAACTACCAGAACAAAAGTTATTTCTAACACATATATGTCCAACATAGGTTTCAGGGGTCCTTTGCTCAACATGGTCACTAAGGAGCTCAAACTGGCAGAATCTCTGTCTTGGTGGCTTCTTCAACACATAAGAAAGGAAAAGGGGATGTGGTGAAACATGAACCTGCTCTCAAAGCTCCCACAGGGAAGTTTCTCATGTCACTACCATTTACATTTTATTATCCAGTGGAAGCCATGTGGTCATGTCTAACTTCAAAGAAAATAAAGAAGAGCAATCCTCATAGGAGCCTGGAAGAGGAAAATGTCACAGATAATTTTTCAGAAACTCCAGCAAGTGGTGTCTTGGACTAGGGTGAATGATGGAGGTGGTGAGAAGTGGTTGGATTCTGGATATTTTTGGAATATATAGCCAGCAGTGTTTCCTGACAAATGGGATATTGGGTTGAGATTAAGGGAGGAGAGAGGAATGATGGGTTTTGATGATAAACAACTGAAAAGGAGTGGCCATCATTTACATCAAGGAGACTGAAGGTTAAGCAGAATTTTGTAGAACTTAGATGAAAATATTTTAAGTATTAGACATTCAAGTGGAGAGCACAAATAAGCTATTGAACATACAAGCTGGTGCCTGCAAGGCAGAGGTCTGCACTGGACACAAAAAGTAATAAATTTGAGCATCTAAGTGGCTTTTAAATTTAAATTGAGGTTGGAGATCACCAAGGGAGTCAATAGCTGTTGACTCAGAGTTGTCTCACCAGCTGCTACAAAGTTGCAAATTTTAATCTCTGATTTTAGTATTTAATGTATCTCTCTAGATTCATCAGATATAGGTAAGTCCGGGCCTATATAAATACACCATGTTTTCTTATATCTAAGTATATTTAGACATATTTGTCCATTCCCTGTAACTAGGTGAGATATTTGAAGTATATGCAACAAGTACTGCATAGGAAGTGAAAGCACATTTGCCGGGACACAGTCAGCCCTGCCTGTAACACCAACTCTTATCATCTTTCCAGAGTCCACTGTCTACTCTCTGACACTCAACTCTATTTTTCACATGCAGAATTTCATTATTATTTGCCTTATTATTTTATATTATATTGGACCAAAAATATAGTATAGAATTTATCACTTTGTGCAAATATTTTTTTCTATTATTATTATTATATATTTAAGAGGTACAAGTATAGGTTTCTTACATGCATATATTGCATCATGGGGAAGTCTGGGCTTTTAGTGTACCCATCACCTGAATAGCGAACTTGTACTCAATAGGTAATTTTTCATGCCTTACTAGCCTCTGATCCTCCCAGCTTTTGAAGTCTCTAATGTCCATTATTCCATTTTTTTATGTTCATGCATATCCATTGTTTAGTTCCCACTTATAAGTGAGAATATGAAGTATTTGAATTTCTTTTTCTGTGTTCTATTACTTAGGAAAATGACCTCTAGTTCTGCCCATGTTGTTGCAAAATATATGACTTAATTCTTTTTATGGCTGAATAGTATTTCATAGTATATATACACCATATTTTATTTATCCAATCATCTGTTGATGAACACCCAGGTTCATTTCATGATTTTGCTATTGTGAATAGTACTGCAATAAACATATGAGAGCAGACGTCTTTTTTATATAATGGTTTCCTTTCCTTTGGATAGATACCCAGAAGTGAGATTGATGAATGAAAGGGTAGTTATATTTTTAGTTCTTTGAGAAGTCTCCTTATTTATGCAAATATTTTAATTGGCTGTTTTCTTCTTATAATCGTAAGAGTATCTTTCCAGTATTTTCATAACAGTGTGAAACATAGATCTGGAGACAGAGATGGATCTGGAATTTTGTGTATTGAAAAAGTAAATTTAAAATAATTATAATTATATTGTAATAACCAACTATGACTTTTTTTTTTTTTTGAGATGGAGTCTCACTCTGTCACAAAGGCTGGAGTGCAGTGGCATGATCTCAGCTCACTGCAACCCCCGTCTCCTGGTTTCAAGTGATTTTCCTGCCTTAGTCTCCCAAGTAACTGAGACTACAGGCACGTACCACCACGCCCAGCTAATTTTTGTATTTTTAGTAGAGAAGAGGTTTCACCATGTTGGCCAGGCTGGTCTTGAACTCCTGACCTCAAGTGATCCACCTGTCTCAGCCTCCCAAAGTGCTGGGATTACAGGCATGAGCCACCATGCCTGGCCACCAAGTATGACTTCAGTGATAATCTTATTTGACCTCATAATTCATTATTTATCAAAGGCAGCTTTAAGAATTTAAAACAAGAAAAAACAGTTTGGCAGAGATTGGATAATGGTTTATTTTGTTTGTTTTATAATTTGAAATTGCAGGACTTCTTTAAGGTCCTCTACACAACTCAGCATTGTGAAACTCCAAAAGAGTGATTCAGAGTGTTGTATTGTGGGAGATGGTGATCACTCGAAAGTCTGTTTTTTCGTTGAGATGGAGTTTCGCTGTTGTTGCCCAGGCTGGGGTGCAATGGCACAATCTTGGCTCATTGCAACCTCTGCCTCCCGGGTTCATGCAATTCTCTTGCCTCAGCCTCCTGAATAGCTGAAATTACAGGTGCCCACCACCATGCCTGGCTAATTTTTTTTTTTTTTATATTATTAGTAGAGACGGGGGTTTCACCATTTTGGCCAGGCTGGTCTCGAACTGCTGACCCCAGGTGATTCACCTGCCTCAGCTTCCCAAAGTGCTGGGATTACAGGAATGAGCCATCATGCCCAGCCTATTTCCCTTTCTCTAATGCAAAATCAACATAGGTAAATGTCTACTGGGTCCCCTTTCAGGAAGGCTGGGAGAAAGACTAAAGTATAAAATCTAAAGCAATTTAGAGAATACAGCTTGGGAGAATCTGACCTAATACTTCTGAATTTCAAACATTTAAAGGTATTCCTTTTTCATTTTACACATTTTCTAAAACTATTTTACCTAATACATCTTCTGCCATCATTCATTTTGCCTTAGATTAATTATTATTAGATTTATTTTGTAATGTATGCACAGCTAATATTTCACTTTTTCTATGGTGATGAGGCACAAACCACCTGTTGTTCTATTAATTTTTTTTTTTTTCTTTTTTTTTTTTTTTTTTTTTTATTATACTCTAAGTTTTAGGGTACATGTGCACATTGTGCAGGTTAGTTACATATGTATACATGTGCCATGCTGGTGCGCTGCACCCACTAATGTGTCATCTAGCATTAGGTATATCTCCCAATGCTATCCCTCCCCCCTCCCCCGACCCCACCACAGTCCCCAGAGTGTGATATTCCCCTTCCTGTGTCCATGTGATCTCATTGTTCAATTCCCACCTATGAGTGAGAATATGCGGTGTTTGGTTTTTTGTTCTTGCGATAGTTTACTGAGAATGATGGTTTCCAATTTCATCCATGTCCCTACAAAGGATATGAACTCATCATTTTTTATGGCTGCATAGTATTCCATGGTGTATATGTGCCACATTTTCTTAATCCAGTCTATCATTGTTGGACATTTGGGTTGGTTCCAAGTCTTTGCTATTGTGAATAGTGCCGCAATAAACATACGTGTGCATGTGTCTTTATAGCAGCATGATTTATACTCATTTGGGTATATACCCAGTAATGGGATGGCTGGGTCAAATGGTATTTCTAGTTCTAGATCCCTGAGGAATCGCCACACTGACTTCCACAATGGTTGAACTAGTTTACAGTCCCACCAACAGTGTAAAAGTGTTCCTATTTCTCCGCATCCTCTCCAGCACCTGTTGTTTCCTGACTTTTTAATGATTGCCATTCTAACTGGTGTGAGATGATATCTCATAGTGGTTTTGATTTGCATTTCTCTGATGGCCAGTGATGATGAGCATTTCTTCATGTGTTTTTTGGCTGCATAAATGTCTTCTTTTGAGAAGTGTCTGTTCATGTCCTTCGCCCACTTTTTGATGGGGTTGTTTGTTTTTTTCTTGTAAATTTGTTTGAGTTCATTGTAGATTCTGGATATTAGCCCTTTGTCAGATGAGTAGGTTGCAAAAATTTTCTCCCATGTTGTAGGTTGCCTGTTCACTCTGATGGTAGTTTCTTTTGCTGTGCAGAAGCTCTTTAGTTTAATTAGATCCCATTTGTCAATTTTGTCTTTTGTTGCCATTGCTTTTGGTGTTTTGGACATGAAGTCCTTGCCCACGCCTATGTCCTGAATGGTAATGCCTAGGTTTTCTTCTAGGGTTTTTATGGTTTTAGGTTTAACGTTTAAATCTTTAATCCATCTTGAATTGATTTTTGTATAAGGTGTAAGGAAGGGATCCAGTTTCAGCTTTCTACATATGGCTAGCCAGTTTTCCCAGCACCATTTATTAAATAGGGAATCCTTTCCCCATTGCTTGTTTTTCTCAGGTTTGTCAAAGATCAGATAGTTGTAGATATGCGGCATTATTTCTGAGGGCTCTGTTCTGTTCCATTGATCTATATCTCTGTTTTGGTACCAGTACCATGCTGTTTTGGTTACTGTAGCCTTGTAGTATAGTTTGAAGTCAGGTAGTGTGATGCCTCCAGCTTTGTTCTTTTGGCTTAGGATTGACTTGGCAATGCGGGCTCTTTTTTGGTTCCATATGAACTTTAAAGTAGTTTTTTCCAATTCTGTGAAGAAAGTCATTGGTAGCTTGATGGGGATGGCATTGAATCTGTAAATTACCTTGGGCAGTATGGCCATTTTCACGATATTGATTCTTCCTACCCATGAGCATGGAATGTTCTTCCATTTGTTTGTCTCCTCTTTTATTTCCTTGAGCAGTGGTTTGTAGTTCTCCTTGAAGAGGTCCTTCACATCCCTTGTAAGTTGGATTCCTAGGTATTTTATTCTCTTTGAAGCAATTGTGAATGGGAGTTCACCCATGATCTGGCTCTCTGTTTGTCTGTTGTTGCTGTATAAGAATGCTTGTGATTTTTGTACATTGATTTTGTATCCTGAGACTTTGCTGAAGTTGCTTATCAGCTTAAGGAGATTTTGGGCTGAGACGATGGGGTTTTCTAGATAAACAATCATGTCGTCTGCAAACAGGGACAATTTGACTTCCTCTTTTCCTAATTGAATACCCTTTATTTCCTTCTCCTGCCTGATTGCCCTGGCCAGAACTTCCAACACTATGTTGAATAGGAGCGGTGAGAGAGGGCATCCCTGTCTTGTGCCGGTTTTCAAAGGGAATGCTTCCAGTTTTTGCCCATTCAGTATGATATTGGCTGTGGGTTTGTCATAGATAGCTCTTATTATTTTGAAATACGTCCCATCAATACCTAATTTATTGAGAGTTTTTAGCATGAAGGGTTGTTGAATTTTGTCAAAGGCTTTTTCTGCATCTATTGAGATAATCATGTGGTTTTTGTCTTTGGCTCTGTTTATATGCTGGATTACATTTATTGATTTGCGTATATTGAACCAGCCTTGCATCCCAGGGATGAAGCCCACTTGATCATGGTGGATAAGCTTTTTGATGTGCTGCTGGATTCGGTTTGCCAGTATTTTATTGAGGATTTTTGCATCAATGTTCATCAAGGATATTGGTCTAAAATTCTCTTTTTTGGTTGTGTCTCTGCCCGGCTTTGGTATCAGAATGATGCTGGCCTCATAAAATGAGTTAGGGAGGATTCCCTCTTTTTCTATTGATTGGAATAGTTTCAGAAGGAATGGTACCAGTTCCTCCATGTACCTCTGGTAGAATTCGGCTGTGAATCCATCTGGTCCTGGACTCTTTTTGGTTGGTAAACTATTGATTATTGCCACAATTTCAGAGCCTGTTATTGGTCTATTCAGAGATTCAACTTCTTCCTGGTTTAGTCTTGGGAGAGTGTATGTGTCGAGGAATGTATCCATTTCTTCTAGATTTTCTAGTTTATTTGCGTAGAGGTGTTTGTAGTATTCTCTGATGGTAGTTTGTATTTCTGTGGGATCGGTGGTGATATCCCCTTTATCATTTTTTATTGTGTCTATTTGATTCTTCTCTCTCTTTTTCTTTATTAGTCTTGCTAGCGGTCTATCAATTTTGTTGATCCTTTCAAAAAACCAGCTCCTGGATTCATTGATTTTTTGAAGGGTTTTTTGTGTCTCTATTTCCTTCAGTTCTGCTCTGATTTTAGTTATTTCTTGCCTTCTGCTAGCTTTTGAATGTGTTTGCTCTTGCTTTTCTAGTTCTTTTAATTGTGATGTTAGGGTGTCAATTTTGGATCTTTCCTGCTTTCTCTTGTAGGCATTTAGTGCTATAAATTTCCCTCTACACACTGCTTTGAATGCGTCCCAGAGATTCTGGTATGTGGTGTCTTTGTTCTCGTTGGTTTCAAAGAACATCTTTATTTCTGCCTTCATTTCGTTATGTACCCAGTAGTCATTCAGGAGCAGGTTGTTCAGTTTCCATGTAGTTGAGCGGCTTTGAGTGAGATTCTTAATCCTGAGTTCTAGTTTGATTGCACTGTGGTCTGAGAGATAGTTTGTTATAATTTCTGTTCTTTTACATTTGCTGAGGAGAGCTTTACTTCCAACTATGTGGTCAATTTTGGAATAGGTGTGGTGTGGTGCTGAAAAAAATGTATATTCTGTTGATTTGGGGTGGAGAGTTCTGTAGATGTCTATTAGGTCTGCTTGGTGCAGAGCTGAGTTCAATTCCTGGGTATCCTTGTTGACTTTCTGTCTCGTTGATCTGTCTAATGTTGACAGTGGGGTGTTAAAGTCTCCCATTATTAATGTGTGGGAGTCTAAGTCTCTTTGTAGGTCACTGAGGACTTGCTTTATGAATCTGGGTGCTCCTGTATTGGGTGCATAAATATTTAGGATAGTTAGCTCCTCTTGTTGAATTGATCCCTTTACCATTATGTAATGGCCTTCTTTGTCTCTTTTGATCTTTGTTGGTTTAAAGTCTGTTTTATCAGAGACTAGGATTGCAACCCCTGCCTTTTTTTGTTTTCCATTGGCTTGGTAGATCTTCCTCCATCCTTTTATTTTGAGCCTATGTGTGTCTCTGCACGTGAGATGGGTTTCCTGAATACAGCACACTGATGGGTCTTGACTCTTTATCCAACTTGCCAGTCTGTGTCTTTTAATTGCAGAATTTAGTCCATTTATATTTAAAGTTAATATTGTTATGTGTGAATTTGATCCTGTCATTATGATGTTAGCTGGTGATTTTGCTCATTAGTTGATGCAGTTTCTTCCTAGTCTCGATGGTCTTTACATTTTGGCATGATTTTGCAGCGGCTGGTACCGGTTGTTCCTTTCCATGTTTAGCGCTTCCTTCAGGAGCTCTTTTAGGGCAGGCCTGGTGGTGACAAAATCTCTCAACATTTGCTTGTCTATAAAGTATTTTATTTCTCCTTCACTTATGAAGCTTAGTTTGGCTGGATATGAAATTCTGGGTTGAAAATTCTTTTCTTTAAGAATGTTGAATATTGGCCCCCACTCTCTTCTGGCTTGTAGGGTTTCTGCCGAGAGATCCGCTGTTAGTCTGATGGGCTTTCCTTTGAGGGTAACCCGACCTTTCTCTCTGGCTGCCCTTAACATTTTTTCCTTCATTTCAACTTTGGTGAATCTGACAATTATGTGTCTTGGAGTTGCTCTTCTCGAGGAGTATCTTTGTGGCGTTCTCTGTATTTCCTGAATCTGAACGTTGGCCTGCCTTGCTAGATTGGGGAAGTTCTCCTGGATAATATCCTGCAGAGTGTTTTCCAACTTGGTTCCATTCTCCACATCACTTTCAGGTACACCAATCAGACGTAGATTTGGTCTTTTCACATAGTCCCATATTTCTTGGAGGCTTTGCTCATTTCTTTTTATTCTTTTTTCTCTAAACTTCCCTTCTCGCTTCATTTCATTCATTTCATCTTCCATTGCTGATACCCTTTCTTCCAGTTGATCGCATCGGCTCCTGAGGCTTCTGCATTCTTCACGTAGTTCTCGAGCCTTGGTTTTCAGCTCCATCAGCTCCTTTAAGCACTTCTCTGTATTGGTTATTCTAGTTATACATTCTTCTAAATTTTTTTCAAAGTTTTCAACTTCTTTGCCTTTGGTTTGAATGTCCTCCCGTAGCTCAGAGTAATTTGATCGTCTGAAGCCTTCTTCTCTCAGCTCGTCAAAATCATTCTCCATCCAGCTTTGTTCTGTTGCTGGTGAGGAACTGCGTTCCTTTGGAGGAGGAGAGGCGCTCTGCGTTTTAGAGTTTCCAGTTTTTCTGTTCTGTTTTTTCCCCATCTTTGTGGTTTTATCTACTTTTGGTCTTTGATGATGGTGATGTACAGATGGGTTTTCGGTGTAGATGTCCTTTCTGGTTGTTAGTTTTCCTTCTAACAGACAGGACCCTCAGCTGCAGGTCTGTTGGAATACCCTGCCGTGTGAGGTGTCAGTGTGCCCCTGCTGGGGGGTGCCTCCCAGTTAGGCTGCTCGGGGGTCAGGAGTCAGGGACCCACTTGAGGAGGCAGTCTGCCCGTTCTCAGATCTCCAGCTGCGTCCTGGGAGAACCACTGCTCTCTTCAAAGCTGTCAGACAGGGACACTTAAGTCTGCAGAGGTTACTGCTGTCTTTTTGTTTGTCTGTGCCCTGCCCCCAGAGGTGGAGCCTACAGAGGCAGGCAGGCCTCCTTGAGCTGTGGTGGGCTCCACCCAGTTCGAGCTTCCCGGCTGCTTTGTTTACCTAAGCAAGCCTGGGCAATGGCGGGCGCCCCTCCCCCAGCCTCGTTGCCGCCTTGCAGTTTGATCTCAGACTGCTGTGCTAGCAATCAGCGAGATTCCGTGGGCGTAGGACCCTCCGAGCCAGGTGTGGGATATAGTCTCATGGTGCGCCGTTTCTTAAGCCGGTCTGAAAAGCGCAATATTCGGGTGGGAGTGACCCGATTTTCCAGGTGCGTCCGTCACCCCTTTCTTTGACTCGGAAAGGGAACTCCCTGACCCCTTGCGCTTCCCAGGTGAGGCAATGCCTCGCCCTGCTTCGGCTCGCGCACGGTGCGCACACACACTGGCCTGCGCCCACTGTCTGGCACTCCCTAGTGAGATGAACCCGGTACCTCAGATGGAAATGCAGAAATCACCGTCTTCTGCGTCGCTCACGCTGGGAGCTGTAGACCGGAGCTGTTCCTATTCGGCCATCTTGGCTCCTCCCTGTTCTATTAATTTTGATGTTATACTTAACTTTAAAAGAAGTAGAAATAGCTTACCTATTTGAATGTGATCTTAGATTTTAAAGAATTCTTTGTCGGAAAAGTGTAACATTCTAAGTAAACATAAATAAAACAAAGCAAAACAATCTAAATTTCAACTTGCTTCCAGGTGTTGCTGATGACAAGGAACTTGAGGAAAATGGACCGCATTGTTCGTGATAGCTGAAGAGATAATGTGCGAAATTGAAAATGCTATTTTCATAACTCAGAGGCAGGCAGAGACAAAAAGCATCAACAACTTATTCTGTCATTTTGAGAGAAAGCTAAGCAAAAACCTTCCTGTAGTTTCATAAGATTTTTCTCCTATTTTAGTATACACAAGTGAGATTGCTGCAAGTTCCATATGCTAAGACCTTAATTAGCAATTCAGTGTACCTGAGGCTGCAGCCTGATGCCATTGTTGCAACTGACTTGGAGAATGAAGGCAGCCCCACTTTGTTCAGTGATTCCTATTTGCACTAACTGCCTTGTGAAATCTGGAAGCATCACCTGAGTTTCCCCTTGTTAACCCAAAGCATATCACAGGGCTCAGGTTGATGTCTAGGGCCCCTGTGCTCTCTGTTCTCTGCCCACACAGCAGCTGTAATCACATTCTGAGCATAGGGAGCCTGGTTTTATCTAACTGCTCCAAATCCGTTGTCTCAAAAAGGGACAGAGCGTCTTTTATTGAAATGAGCTGAAAGCATTTACATTCTCCAAAAGAGCTGTGCTTCCTAAGGATACTCAAAAATTACTAATTGTGTCTGGTGCCAGGTGCACAAAGCAAATCATTTGATTTTGCTTTCACAGTTTTTAAGAAAAAGGAAGGTACATTTACAGAGAGAATCACCATATTGCTTCTCAAGATGTATTTATTGTTTCTGGGGATGATACCTGCTTTTTCTTTTTCAATGTGTTATTCTAGCTCAATTTCCTTATATTCTTTTCTTTTTCTCTTTTATTTTCATATCGAATTGTGATCAGAAGAGCAAATGGAATTTCATTTTGCAAAGTTCTCTGTTGATTCCTATATAAATTTCAGAAACTGTAGAGACTATCAGGAGACTGGTGTTTCTTTCTTAAGAAGTTGTTGGTTTGATATCCTTCAAACTGAGTGAGATTAATGGGCATGGATAGATAAGAGCTCATGAGCATGCATATTATAGCTCATCACTTTTTCGTTAATGTAAGAACCATAGCTATTCACAATGTTGTGTTATTTTCTTCAGCTCTAATTTTTATTCTCCTGCTATGTCTTTTTTATCTCACGAATGGTATCGTAAAATTATCATTCTTAATGTTGTGTGTGCCACATTGATGTGGTTCATTTTTTGTAATCTCTATAATATTAAGTCTGATTTTCACTTAACTTGTATAAACCTTTTCCATATATCCCTCAGTTGCCTTAACTGGGTTCAGTTAATATTTTTCTAGAATAATTTTTTAAAGCAAATTAATGATGTCAGGTTTATTCAAATTTGTATTGATCTATAAATGTGTCGGGTTATTTTTTTCTGGAATGAAATAATTACAGAATGAGTTTAAATGAGCCAATGCACAGATATGTCTATCTATATAACTCAGTCTAATACTTAGACTATGAAATTTTTGGGGGAGGGAATTTCATTGTATGTTTGGGTTATTGTTTAATCTTAGATGTGCCACCAAATATATAACTAACATTTTCAGTCATAGTTCAGCCAGATAAATGGAACCAGTAGAAGATATAAATTAAGGGATTTATTGTAAAGTTTTGGCTTAAACAATTCTAGAGCCCCCTAGTCAGTCAAAGATCTGTAGAGTAGTACATCAGGAAGAAAAGATGGAAATTCTCAACCATAAGCAAAAGCTTCACTCTAACAGTAAAATACTTTTTCTTCCAGGAAAACTCAGTACCATTCTAAGGACTTTCACTGACTGAATCGACCCACCAGATTATCTAAGAAAATCTTTTAGTCCACTGACTGTGCATGTTGATTATACTAATCTAGGTATAGGTGTTTGATTGAATAACTAGGTATGATATGATAGCCAAGTTGACTCATAAAACTGACCATTAAAGTCCAAAACTTGTCAACTTGACATCCATGTACATCTTTTAAGACCAAGCTTAATCTCCAATTAAAGACAGTAACAAAGTCATACTTTCAAGCTAACATGTTATAACTATCTGAGTATAACCAAAAGTGCACTATGGCTATGGCTTTGTGTTTTGTAGGTTTAGATGTCTTAATCCAAAGAGAGAAATGCTTCCACCAGGAGGCACAATAATGATCCCATTGAACTAAAAATTGAGATTGTCACAAGCCTCTTTGGTCTCCTAATGTCTCTGAAACAACAGGTAAAGGAGGCCATTTCCTCAGAGAAGGATCATAGTCCTTATACAATGTTTACTTTTCTCCCTGATATCCTGTAACTTAAATACTGTGGTGTAAAGTTAACTGTTAGTAGTATATCTCATGTTAGATGGAAAGAGATTTGAAAGGAAAAGAAATTTTTCATATATATATGCATATATATAAATATTCATTAAAAACAAGGAATAAATGCTCATAAATATTACAGTCCTCATGTCTACAACTGATTGTGGGTTCATAGCTAATATTTATAAACCACCATTTCTACTATCATTCCAGTATCTCAGCTGATTGTGGGTCATTGCCTGGTGAGGTAATCTGAATCTTTATTACTGAAGTGTGTGGGCCATCAGCAGTCCTGCTGGAGCTGGGTTGTTGTAGTTTTCCACTGACTTTAATCATAAGACATAGCAATGCTAGGAAATGAGTTAAGAGCTCTCCTGTATTTCAGACATATTTTTCCTTACTTTCACTGTGTAGCTATAGCAAACCAATATTTTCTCAGAAGTCAGGATCAATCACCCTAGTAAGTATAGAAAGTCCCTTTTATCTATTGATTCAGAGACATGAGGATACCAAAGTGACAGGTGACAGTCTCATTTTTGTGCCTCCTTTTGGAAGCATTTCTTTCTTTAAGATATCTAAACCAACAAAACATAAAGCTATAAGGAAAGAAAGTAAAAACTTTCTAGTGGTAATAGTGAATGCTGCCACACTCAGTTTGACTATTTGATTCCTAAACCTGTGAATTCTGGCTATGTGACAAACAGCACCATATATTGATGCTGACTCAGAGCACACAGAGCTTTCTGGGGAAACTTGTCCCAGCATTGCAAAATTTCTGACTACCTTGTTATATAACTGAGCCTCCAAAAGGCCATTCCACTGTTCTATCAAGTCAGCTCCATTCATCTGGTAAAACCTGTGAATTCCATGAGTTTGGGCTCACTGTTACATTTCTTTTGCTATGAAGTGAGTTTCTCAGTCAGAATCAATGCCTTTTGTAATATTATGACAGTGGATAAGGCATTCTATAAGCCCACGAATGCTAGTTTTGTCAGAAGCATTGAATGCAGGAAAGGCAAATACGTATCTATTAAGTTGGTGAAAAAGCATTTACGGTTTTTGAAGTTAGGTTTTGCACCAACCTAATAGAGTTAAGTGTCTATTTCAGTAAGAACAATATGCTACCCCATTCCATGGCAGGAGTGGCTCGATATAATCAACCTGTCAGGTAGATGGCTGATCATCCTGGGGAATGGTGCCATATCAGGAACTTAGTGTTGGTCTTTGCTATTAGAAGACTGGGCACTCAGCAGTGGCTGGAGCTAGTTCTCCTTGGTGAAAGGAAGTTCACGTTGCATAACTTCTAACTTTGCCACTGTAGCCACTTTAAGAACCTATTGAGCAGTGGCAGTTATGGCTAAGAAAAGAGGATGACAGGTAGCTATGATAGGTCATCTTATCCATGTAATTTTTAAAACTAATTTGAAAATTACTAAAATTATTAAAATCCCACTCTGATAAGGTCACCCTTTCATAAGCGTTCACATGGATACAAAATATTTCACAGTATTTGCCTACTAAGTGAGGTTGATCCACATATTTCTTCCCCAGACCTCTTTGTCACCACTTTTTCAATTAAATATCTTCCAAGTCCCTGATCATCCAGCCAAACAATTGGCTAGATCTCATGAATCAATATCTACTAATACCTCTGGCAATTGTGTCTTCCAAGCAAAATGTATAAGCAAGTTCTAACAACTTTATTACTTTCCTTCAGGGATGTACCAGGAATGACCCATCATGCTCAGCTGTCCACTTTCAGATGTTACCTGCATATCACATAAACTAGGCCTGAGTTTTATTTTGCTCGGTCAACTGATCATAAGAAACTTCCCAGGAAGCCATAGGTATAGGCTAATTTCATACATTTCACTTCCATATGTGAAAATAGAGAGCTGCTGAGCAAATTATGGCTTGGTGGGTCAGAAAATACCCAGTTCATGATGGGCATCTCTGGTTGTTTGCTAACTCAGTGTCTCATGGGTAAACATTTAGTCTCTAGTCTCTATTAAGGCCAATAGGAAGCCAAAGATGTATCTCAAAAAGATAATAGTTATCCACAGAGGATAACTGAGCTTTGCTTCAAAATCCTAAGGATCGTTTCCGTGATTCATCAGTAAGCACCTGCCAAAGGATCCAACCAGTATCTTGATCTACCACAGATATTTAAGGCATCATTGGATCTGCTAGATCACATGGCTCAAGCATAGAATCAATTTGCATGGCAGCTTGGAACTGTTGAGAAGGCTTATTTTGTTGTGGACCCCACTCAAATTCAGCAATTTTTTACATCTCTCAATAATGAGCTGGCATAGCACACTCAAATGGCAAACATGTGGCCTTCTAAATCCAAAAAGACTCACTTGGCATTGTGCCTCTTTTTTGGTTCAGCCAGATGCAAGAATTTATACTTTTATTAAAAAGTATATCTTGACATGCTACATATACATCACTGATCTCCTAGAAATTTTACTGAAGTGAAAGATCTTTGTATTTTTGTCAGATTAATTTTCCACTTTCTGTAACATAAATTTCTTATTTATAAATCTTAAATAACTGCCATTTCTTGCTCAATGGGTCAAATTTGCATAAAACCATCAAAGTAATAATGGATCAGCATAATGACTTGTCAAAAAAAAACATGATGAATGTTCCTCTAAAATAAATTATGACATAGGAGTAGAAAGTTGATATACCTTTGAGACAGGGTACTGAAACTATACTTCTTGTTGTCGATCAACAGGTAGTGAGAAAAAAGCATTTGCCAGATTAATAGCTGCATACAAAGTACCAGGAAATATGTTAATTTGCTCAAGCGATGAACCTACATCTGTAAGAGCAGGTGCAATAACTATAGGATTGGTGTGGGGACACACTGAACTCAGTATAAGACACACCTGAGCAACAGCTTTAATGCCTACCCGCTCTCTGTAAACTCCTGTTCTGACTGGTGGACTCTGCTAACATTTTGTGTCTCTTGTAATTAATGTCACTTCACACCCAGTGTCAAATAATTCCCCAGAATTCAGATTACTTCCCTTTCCCCATTGCACAGTCACCTTGATAAATGTCCATAGTTTCCTTTTGGGAAGGCTGAGAGAAAGATTAAAGTATAAATATTTAGCAATGTAGCAGAGTCCTCAATCAACGGGTCCCAACCTCCCCTTTAATCAAGAAGTTCTGGGTCCGTAAACTGACTCATACCTGAAAATAGATTAAGGAGCCATCATTCCCTGTTTTGGTGATTTAAGTGAAACTTCTGTTCACTTGACTTCAGGGTGCTTTTAGAGGGCCAAGCTTTTGTATAGTTTCCTTGGTTGTAGAGTTTCCCGAGGTGGGTTTCATAGGTGTTGTGTATTGAACCACTAAATTTTTGTTTGGTGTAATTCAGGCTCTAGCACAGTAGATGGAACATGCAAGTAAAAGCCAGCAGATAGGCTCTTAGCCATGCTCTCTCCTCTTGACCCAGACATTTTCATTTATACATATCAATTAAGAATTTAGTATATTGGCCAGGCGCGGTGGCTCACACCTGTAATCCCAGCACTTTAGGAGGCTGAGACAGCTGAATTGCTTGAGCTCAGGAGTTCAAGACCAGCCTGGACAACAAGGTGAGACACCTCCGAACTCTACAAAAAATACAAAAACAGTAGTGAGGCATGATGGTGCACGCCTGTAGTCCCAGCTACCTGAGAGGCTGAGGTGGGAAGATGGCTTGAGCCTGGGAGGCAGAGGTTTCAGTGAGCTGAGATTACACTATTGCACTCCAGCCTGGGCAATAGAGCCTGTCCAAAAATAAATAAATAAATAAATAAATGAAGTAAAATTAGTATATTGCTTATCTGTTTTCTAGTTACATCAAGGTCCAGAAGCAAGCACTATAGGTGTTGTGAGTCAGACTATTCTGATTGCTGCTTTGACTTTACTGTCCATCACGGTAACCATAACCACACTGTTTTTGGTAATTAGGTACCCCCACTTGGCCTGTGTCACTCTGGGATGCTATTAACCCTGTTACATTTAAGGATTTCCGCTCATTAGTAGCAATTTCCACTGTTATCTTTGACCTATAGAGAAGAGCTACCACAGAGTTCTTCAAGAATACTGAGACTCCTCTCACAACTTATGTTCTTATGGTCATAATGAAAGATGTATTCTCTGGATGCACTTGGTATGGGTGAGCAGGTTTTACTTTATAAATCTTCTATAACATTCCAATATCCCTAAACCTTTAGACGTCTTCTTTTGCAGTATAACAAGGCAGTTCTGGCATTTAATCTTGATTTAGTGTAGGCTGCTTTTTGCTCCATGTTTCAGATAACCAAACAAACTGTTAAAGACCTTTTACATTCTCAAGCTAAAATACAGAATCCAGAATCTCTGTTTAGTGGGATCATTTCTGCTCATGTATTCCCATTCCAATTATCAGGCTCCCATTCCTTTTCATTTAATGCCTGCATTTAACTGAAGATGCATTGCAAGGTTGGGAATTCAATGTCTGATGCAATTTAGCCACTCTCAGGATGAGGCTGTGGGTTTGGTCTTCAATAATTTCAGCCCTGTGGCTACAGGAGATAAGGGTTTTATTTATGACAGACATAAAAGCTTTTAATTCGTTTATGCAGAACTTGAGATGGGAATTTGAAATCCTGAATTTATTCTTTTTCTACTTTCTCCAGTGCAGTTCTGAGCAACTAATCAATCTCATTATACTCGTTAGTTTGACAAAAATGTTGTCAAATATATGGTCACCCAGAACCTTTTATAAGTATTTGATTAGGAGTATCCAATGGTGATATTTTGCCTATCTGTATTATCACATCATGCCATGGACTGTCAGTCCTCTCCTTACTACTGGAAATAGAGTCATTATTTCTTTAAATCTAATCAGAATAGAATAACAGTAACAGAAACCAAGAATTAATTCAAGAAACTTAAGATTCTGTTTTTCTAGAATCACTTCTGATATCAAAATCTGTATCAACAAGGTTTGATACACAGAAAGAGAATCAGTAGGAGATACATAGATTAAGGAACTTATTAGAAAGAAGTGGCATATGTGATTTTGAAGGCTGGCTAGGAAGTTCATAGGTAGTCCATAAGGAAGGGCAGGATGAAACTGAGTATGAGTTGAAGCTGCAGTTTGCAAGTAGAATTTTTTCTTCAGTGAATTCTCAGCTTTATTTCTGAGGCATTTCCATTGGTTAAATAATGCCCCCCCCAGCTTATCTAGGATAATCTCTCTTATCTTTATCGCTGTGTTGGCCAGGCTGGTCTCGAACTCCTGACCTCAAGTGATCTGCCCACCTGGGCCTCCCAAAGTGCTGGGATTACAGATATGAGTCACTGTGACTGGCCTAAAGTAGGCTTATAGCATTTTATTATTCATTTACTTAATATGGTAAACATTTAGCTCCTCTAGTTTCCTGGAAAACTGTAGAAGTTCTATTTAATAAAATACTAGATAACTTAGGATAATGTGTAAAAAAAAAAGTAATATTTGTCTCAAAGAAATTATTTTTTTCCTAGCAATAATGTGATTAAACTAATTAATATTTTAAATGCTTAGGGCAATATCTGTTCCATTTAAAATGCTCAATATATATAAGATACTCTTATTTAAGAGGCAGCAGAAAATAATACTGAAGACTGCAGGCTGTGAGGAAAGAGTACTTTAATTTAAAACCTGATTTTGCCACTTATTGCATATATTATCCTAAGTAAATTTTTTAAGTTTCATCACCACATAAATACAACATAAAAAAAAGTACTTCCTGTCTCATAGTGTTGCCAATAGAATTATGTGATTGTATGTATAAAAGCTTTAAATTACTCAATTTATTATTAATATCAGCAGATTGTTAATAAATATCAGAAAACAAAGCAACATGAAACAACTTTATTTAATTTATACTTGGTGATAAATTTTAAAACTTTCTGGTAATTACTGACATCATCATAAATCAGGATTCCAGGTTAAAAACTCCAAGTATTCTTCTTTAATTTCATGTTCTTTACATACTGAGTCTTATGCTTCTAAAATTTCTTCACAGCTGTTCTTAAATTGCATTCCACTGCTAGATCCCTTTTCCAGATTGTCTTCACTTAATGTGATTTATTTAAAAATTCCATAATTAATCATCATTTCGAAACTCATATTTTAGAAATCTAGACTTTTCTTATTAAATGTTAGGCATTCTCCAATTTATGACACTTGCTTATGTGCAAAATAAAATCTATGCTTTTTCATATCTCATAGAAGGCATGCCATAATTTTCTACAGCTGATCTTTCCAATATTGCTCACTAAAGTTTATATCTCAGTTTCATAAGACCAACCTCTTTCCCAGTCCAGTTGTCCGTATGAAATAATAAAAATGAAAACTATTTTCCATCTTATTCTGTTAATCTCATGCTCATTTAGAAACCAGCTAAAGGTCAGGCGCGGTGGCTCAAGCCTGTAATCCCAATACTTTGAGAGGCCGAGGCGGGTGGATCACAAGATCAGGAGATCGAGACCGTCCTGGCTAACACGGTGAAATCCCGTCTCTACTAAAAAATACAAAATATTAGCCGGGCATGGTGGCAGGAGCCTGTAGTCCCAGCTACTTGGGAGGCTGAAGCAGGAGAACGGCGTGAACCCGGGAGGAGGAGCTTGCAGTGAGTCGAGATCGTGCCACAGTACTCCAGCCTGGGAGACAGAGTGAGACTCCATCTCAAAAACAAACAAACAAACAAACAAACAAAAACCAACTGAAATATGTGAAATAAAAAACACATAAATATTAATTCAAATAAAATGAGTTTTAATTTATGACTATATTTTAAAAGTTTATTATTTTAAACAAGTCAAGATATACCCCTTCTTTTTTAATTAGTAAAAGAACAATACCTAGCTTTCTGTAAAGTAATTAAATTAAGCAAATACAAGCACACTATATTGAGTTTATAGTTGTGATTCTCAATGTTATATGTCCATTTATCTGGGCCAGACATTTGATAAACATTATTTTTGGTGTGGCTGTTAGGGTGTTTTTAGATGAGATTAATATTTGAATCAGTATACTGAGTAAAGCATATTGCCTATCCCAATATGAGTGATTCTCACTCAGTTAGTCAAAGACCTGAGTAAAACCAAAAGGCTGACCCTCATGTGGATAAGGAAGAACTCTTCCTGACTGGCTGCCTTTTAGCTGGACATTCACTTTTTTTTTTTTTTTCCAGCCTGGAGGTTTGAGCTGAAACATCAGCTCTTGCTGGGTCTTGAGCCTGGCAGCCTTTTGACTTGAACTGCACCATGTGCTTTTCTGGATCTGCATAATTATGAATGCAGATATTGGGGTGCCTCATCCCTCATTATTAGATGAGTCAATTCCTTATAAAACTATAAGAATATTTATTCATCCTATTGGCTCTGTTTTTCTGAACCACCCCAACTAATGCAGATTTTGGTACCAAGAGTGGTGCTAGGGAAACATAATTTTAAGGATGAGTTTTCTAATTGATCCTGGGGTTTTTGAAATTGACCCTCTGATTAGATTTAAAGATGATCATGAGTCTATTTGCAGTAGTAAAGAGTATACTAATGGTCCATAATGGAATTTGAAAATAGAGATATGCAAAATATTAGCATTGGATGCTCCTGCTCAACATCTTATAAAAAGCAAGTATTTCAGTGATTGTGTATGTGATACTTTTAAACATGATGCCAAGCTAAGACATATAATGAGATTGGCTAGTTGCACCTAAAGTTGCTAAAGTGAGGAAAGAAATAATGAGCTTGGAAATTCCAATTCCAGCTCAAGCACTCAATAAATGACCTGAATCTAATGTGTGTGCCCTTAAGGAAACAGTTCTCCTATCACCACTGGACTGAGAATGCTAAACATCAAATTCAGGGTCTTATCCTGAAACTTTCTGAATCACAATGCAAGGTGAACTTTTACAACCTCATAGTGTTTCTACTGGTAAGTGAAGTCTTTGATTGGGAAAGAATGGAACATTGAAAGTTGAAATGAATATGTGTGGGAAAACATTGTTTAGAAAAATGGAGCCCCTAAATTTTGATTAGTCTTCTTTTTTTTATTATTATACTTTAAGTTCTAGGGTACATGTGCACAATGTGCAGGTTTGTTACATATGTATACATGTGTCATGTTGGTTTGCTGCACCCATCAACTGGTCATTTACATTAGGTATTTCTCCTAATGCTATCCCTCCCCCATACCCCCACCACAAGACAGGCCCTGGTGTGTGATATTCCCCGCCCTGTGTCCAAGTGTTCTCATTGTTCAGTTCCCACCTATGAGTGACAACATGCGGTGGGTTGGTTTTCTGTCCTTGCAATAGTTTACTGAGAATGATGGTTTCCAGCTTCATCCATGTCCCTATAAAGGACATGAACTTATCATTTTTTATGGCTGCATAGTATTCCATAGTGTATATGTGCCACATTTTCTTAATCCAGTCTATCATTGATGGACATTTGGGTTGGCTCCAAGTCTTTGCTATTGTAAATAGTGCCACAATAAACATACTTGTGCATGTGTCTTTATAGTGGTATGATTTATAATCTTTTGGGTATATACCCAGTAATGGGATTGCTGGGTCAAATGGCATTTCTAGTTCTAGATCCTGGAGGAATCGACACACTGTCTTCCACAACGGTTGAACTAATTTACACTCCCACAAACAGTGTAAAGGCATTCTTATTCCTCCATATCCTCTCCAGCATCTGTTGTTTCCTGGTTTTTTAATGATTACCATTCTAACTGGCATGAGATCGTATCTCATTGTGGTTTTGATTTGCATTTCTCTAATGACCAGTGATGATGAGCTTCTTTTCATATGTTTGTTGGCTATATAAATGTCTTCTTTTGAGAAGGGTCTTTTATATCCTTCACCCACTTTTTGATGGTTTTTTTTTCTTGTAAATTTTTTTTAAGTTCTTTGTAGATTCTGGATATTAGCCCTTTGTCAGATGGGTAGATTGCAGAAATTTTCTCCCATTCTGTAGGTTGCCTGTTCACTCTGATGGTAGTTTCTTTTGCTGTGCAGAAGCTCTTTAGTTTAATTAGATCCCATTTGTCAATTTTGGCTTTTGTTGCCATTGCTTTTGGTGTTTTAGTCATGAAGTCCTTGCCCATGCCTATGTCCTGAATGGTATTGCCTACGTTTTCTTCTAGGGTTATTATGTCTTCTTTACCAGTGGAAGAGGCCTCTTCATGCCCCATAGAAGTGGAATCTGACCTCTGAAGGAATTAACTCTGTATTTCCTGAGGAAACTATAATGACCTTACCTCAGGCAGTTGCCATGTGAGACAATGCTGAGTTTCCTCAAGAACCACCCCATCACCCATCTTGGCTTCTAGATCTATAATTAAACTCAAATTCCAGGAGGTCCATAAAGATGATATGCAAAGTGTAATACATTAGGAGGTGTATTAGAGTCCAAAATAATTACTTTCCTAATTGATACAGACAGAAATCCAGGGAATATGCATAAGAATGGATATTAAGAGTGTGGGATAATGATGGAAGAAAGATAAAGTTGGATCAGAGAAAAGTTATTGATATGGGCTCACCAACCAGAGACTCAGTATTTATTATTACAGCCAAGGAAGTTAGAAAGTGCTCTCACAGTGTGTTTGTTTTGTTGGATGCAACAAGATCAAAAGGTAGCCCACTGTGAGCCAATTCGTTTAATGTTGAGGAAAAGATTCAAAGGCCTAAGGATTGCTAGAGTGAATTTGTAATTTAAGACTTACCTACAACAGGAGGATTGAGAAGACATACTTATGACTAATAAAGTGAAAAATAAATTTGTGAGGGAGCATTAGCAACGTTGAAGAACTATGTGATCACTCTTTGCTACAGGTCAGACCTCACAGTGGGTACTGCAGTCACTGAATTAAGGCACCTAAATGCAATGGAGGTAATAAAATCTGAAAGTGGCAGGGGACATGTGGCAGCCCTCAACTGACAGAGATAAGGTGGAGTGTGATTATCATAATAGACAGCAGAGTCAAAGCAGCAGTCAGAATAGTCTGACTCAAGCAGACCTATAGCATTGGCTAAATTATCATGGTGTTCCTAAATCAAAAATGATAGTAAGCCTACTAAATACTTTCTCGATTAGTATTCACAAAATACTTCTAGGTCAAGTGAACAAACGTTTAACTTGAATCATAGAAACAGAGTCATGGCTCCTCAATCAATTCCCTGGCTTGAGCCAGTTTATCAACCCAAAACCCCTTGAATGAAGAAGAGGCTAGATTTTCATAAAAAAGGATCCTGATTTGCTGCCAAAAATTGTATTACTGTTAATCTTTCTCATAGCCTTTAACAAAAAGAATTACATCTTTTTACCTGAGTCACTGTTCACTGGGGAAAAGGAAATAATAATAATACCTTTTGAAAACTACTGGACACTGTCTCTGAACTGACCAGGAAACCCAAAATTTCACTGTGGTCCACCAGAGTGGGGACTTAAGAAGATCAGATGATCAATGGAGTTTTAGCTTAGGTTCATATTATGAAGGACTCAGTAGGTCCCTAAACCTATACTACTACTATCAAAGTTTAACCAGATGATGTCTACTATTACAGCTCTGTACCAAATATCATATCATTGCTTCATTAAATTAACACAACCTCTAGCACCTGGTTTGCAGTTGTTGATCTGGTATGCAGCTATTGATCTGGAAAATGTTTTTTTTTTGCTCCAATAAAGTTATGTGTCACAAAAGAATAAGAATACATTCTGAGAGATGCATCATTAGGTAATTTTGTAGTGTAAACATCACAGAATGTATTCACACAAACATAGATGGCATAGCCTATAACACACCTAGGCTATATAGTATACCCTGTTGCCCCTAGGCTGCATATCTGTTCAGCATATTACCATACCAAATACTGTAGGCAACTGTAAGATAATCATACATATGTGTGTATCTAAACACTTCTAAACATAGAAAAGGTACAGTAAATATATATGGTGTCATCTTACAAGGCTATTGTTTTATATACATACACATATATATGCATATATACACATATATACACATATACACATATACACATATATACATATATATACATATATACACGTATATACATATATATACATATATATATACATATATATACTTTTTATTGACAGGTACGTTTTTATGCAGTACATGACTATACTTGCTATAAAAGATCTCCAGAAGCAGTTTTCTTTCAACTGGCAAGCTCAGCAATATACCTTCACTATCCTACTTCAGGGGAATAGTGTCATCTGTCTATCTCTCTTAGTTCATTGGAATCTTAGTTTCCTAACAGATGATCAACAAGTTTTATTTCATTTGTATGCTTACAATATCATAAAAGCACTTGTGGTGTTATGAATGATATGGACATATATTGTTTTTCCTTCAGTTGTGGGCTTCTAGTTCCCATAAGCTCTTATTACAGTCTTTTATTAGAATATTGGGTATGTTAGGTCTCAGGGGCAGGCCTCCGGAAACAGAATCTGTCTGACCTTCTCCTGTACTCCTTTTACCCGCCCCAAGGCAGGACTTTAATATTCCCCTGTCTTTCTAATTATGGGTCTTAAAACCCTCCCCACAGAAGATCTCATCCTATATCCTAGGGGAAGAAACGCTGACATCATGAAGCTTCCACAAAAACTCAAGAAGACTGGCTTTGGAGAGCTTTCCATAAACTGAACACAGAAAGAATCCTGGAGGATGGGCATGGAAGGGAGGGCCTGGAAGCTCCCAGTCCCTTCCCCCATACCTCATTCATCTGCATCCTTTGTAATATCCTATCTAATAATTCAGCACATGTGTTTCCCTGAATTCTGTGAGCTGCTTCAGCAAATTAATCAAATCCAAAGAGGGTATTGTGGGAGCTCCAACTTGAAGCCAGCTGATCAGAAATTCTAGAGGCCTAGACTTGTGACAAGTGGGGCAGGTGTAGGTCTTGGGGACTGTGCCCTCACCCTGTGTGACTTGACACAGTCTTCAGGTAGATAGTGACAGAATTTCACTGGAGGATACCTAGCCCATGTCTACTGTTTGGTGTGGGAGGAAAGTCTTCCCTAAAATAGCATGTAACAATTCAGTACATTAATTGAGTTACTTTCTTTTCTCATTACTATGTCATCTGTTAGTATTTTGAAGAAAGTCAGTGTAAACTGTAGAAACCTTTAACAAACAGAAAAATAAACAATTTGAATTTGTTATTTACGAAGGAAACAAATACACTCTTCAATAAGAACAAAATAACATACAGTTGAATGTATTATTAACATTTTTTCCAAATAGATTCTATTGTTATTTTTAATAATTCTGAACTATCCTTATTTTACCTCACTTTTATTTCTTAAATCTATTAAGAATGATTTCATAGATCCTTATTTCCTAAATATACAATGACATTTTAAGGAACACATGTCTAAATCTTCTCTTTGCTTATGTTTTCCTTTACTTTTACTTCAATTATTTTATGAATGGAGGTTAATTTTCTGGCTTCTAAATCTTGTATGAATAAATTCAAAAACAATTTCTTAGATATATTTTATTATGGAGAATTTATCTACATATACATATTAATTATGAATGCAATAAGAATAGAGTATTATAAGGAAGGTTGTAACTTGGAAAGAATTCACAGTAAATCAACTATGAAATAGGTGCTGACGTTGAAATCATAAAATGGAAATGCAAAGAAAGACAGATATTAAGTCAGAATGAAAGTGTAAGCAAAGGATGAAAGCTGTGAATTAGTGATGTGTGTCGGAGAAATATAAACAAATGAGCTTGAATGAATACATTTTTTTCATCAAAGCACACAGAAAGATGAATGTGTATATGCTGATAATGTCCACACTGAAAAAGGTGTTTAGTGCCAAACTAAGAGGCCTGAAATTTTTTGGTTATTGTTTTCAAATAGAGAAGTGTCACAGGAAGGAAATGTTTTAGAATGACTAATTTGTTGGAATATATAGAATTAATTTTACACTGGGGAAGGGGATGGAAACAAATTAGATATTGGACAATAAATTTTAAGAGGAACACCAACTTTGGAGATAAATATAGGAAGTCAAGACATTAGATTTTATCTCCTTGGAGAAAATATAGATCAGCCAAGGAAAAAAATCTAATGACTGAATGTTGATGTATACTATACTTAAGAAGTGAGAGAAAGAATAGAATAATGAAGAATTCAAGTAGTTATATAAAAAAAGAAACAATACAGAGTAAAGTCAGTTAGCTAAGTCTAAGATTATGGTATCTTCATTATTATAATATCATATTGGTTATAACTGACAAATATTTTATTTATAATTGTTTTTCCATGTTAATAAACAAAATTGGTTTAGGGCTTGCCACTGCATATAAACTCTCTGTTTATAATAGACTGAGAATGGAGTGAGAAAATGTGCACTTTTTAATCCATGTTGGAAATTTTTAGGAGGAAAGAAATTATGTTGCCCTTGATTTTTCTTTAATTTTTACAGAAAATCTTCAGGCAGATGTGCACAGAAGTTAAAAGTTTAGAAGGGCTTAAACTCTTATTATATACATACACAGGTCAATTTAGCTTTTCTAAGAGAGTTTAATACATATATTCATAATTCATTTATTCCTTCAAAATTGTAATTCATCTAGAATTCAAAATTAATAGGTATGTAATTGAGCATAATATCCTTCAATCTGATTCAGATTAATGAGCATTAATATGTTGACACTCTTCTGTATGCATGTTATAGTCCATCAATTTTTTTGTTAATGTAAGTGCTATCAAAATTGAGCATAATAGTTTCATTAACCCTTTTCTTGTTTAGAAACAAAAGTGCAGCTCACTGCCAGTGCTCATTTAAATTTACATAAACATACTCTTTGGGGCTAAAGAAAATCTGACTCATTTTCAGTGTGAAAATAAAAAATAAAAACTGTTTTTGGAGTTATTTCTAAGCAGAGCTAACATCAGAATCATCTGAATCATCAAAATTGTCTATTTTGGAAAACCTGGATTCATCAAACGGATCTTCACCCAAAAACCATTTGAGAACGATGTTAACGTAATGCATAGGAATGCTATGTGTTCTAGGATGTGACATTTTCAGGGGCCAAGAATTACTATATTTCGTAAATGGAAATACCATCACTAAAAACAGAATGTTATAAATAGAATGATATCTTTTGTTTCCAAACTTGGCATACTATAGTGATGAGAAAATAATAATAAAAGAAAAATAATTCGTGGCAAAGTTATCTCAGGGTAAATGCTGCAGCCGCAAGCACTACCAGTAAGCATTCGCAGGGCGAATGAAAAAAAAAGTTAATATATTTATCTTCTTTCTAATTCTTGTTAGGGTCAGTCGTCAAAAGAGTATACTCAAGTGACTTTTCTTCCTTCCTTCTCCTTTAAGAAACTTACTTGCCACTCAGTGGGCCATTTTATTCTAAATACTTAAAATTTTCTTTAACTCAGAGAAACTGCCCTTGTTTACATGATAAACCACCCTCCTTTGTTCTTGTTTGTGTTTTCTTTTTCTGAAATGTGTTTTAAAAGTTTTCTCAGTTTTATCTCATGAATTATATTTTATATGCTCTGCTTAACACAGCCAAGGGAGAGAAACAAGTTTCTGTGTTAATTGAAATTGCCAACACATCTTTTGGTGAGCTCCATTCTATCTGGAGGATTGCCCTAAGGCGGTCTTTTCTGCAAATGGGCTGAGTAGGGTATAGACTATTAGAATGGGAACAGGTTTTAATTAATATAGTAAAAACTATGTTATCATTGTAGATAAATTTAGGAATTTTCTACTATGCCCAGCATCTAGAATGTAATTTTCTCCTGTTGGCTATTTTATGATGAGATAGAGCTGCCTGAGTCTGGTCTGGTATTTATACCATCAAAATACATGTATTTGACACTTATATGGCAGACACCAATGTACAGAAGGAACCACTCCTAACAGTTTAGATTAACAATCACAGTCACATTCTCTTAGTATATCAATTAGTTCCTGGTGTTTAAGTTTAGTGTAAAGCTACCTCCTTACAAATTTAAATTCAGCCTGAATGTTTTTCTGTACATCATGAAGTATAACAAGTGGAAGTGGAAACCGACCACAGCCCATACCAGTGCAAATCACTGAGTTTTTGTCAGTCAAATGCAGCCAATTGTTTGAACTGTGTTCAAATAAGGCAAAGGCCAACCTGTAACTAATCCAGCTGTTTCGGTACCTCACTTCTGATTTTGCATTTCATTTCCCTTTTTTTGTCTATAGATCTTCTTCCACCACATGGCTGCTCTAGAGTCTCTCTGAATCTGCCGTGATTCTGGGGGCTTCCTGATTCGTGAATCATTCATTGCTCAATCAAACCCCTTTAAATTTAATTCAGCTGAAGTTTTTCCTTTAACAGGTGGTGTCAGAAGCAGGTCCTAAGTAGATATTCTCACAACCCCCAGGAGCACTGAGTGAATAAGCAAGGTACCTACAGGACCCACTTGTATCCATTGATCTCTCATAGCAGCTGGGGGATTATAGGTAAGTTCTTTCTTGGATTTCAGAGCTCCATAGATTTGTGTTTAGACTCTCTTGTGAAAATTATGCTAAACAACTATTACGACTATCACAAGGGTAATACCAAGAGTTTGGAATATGCTCCTTACCCAAGGTTCCTGTAAACCAAACTGCCTAAAATCAAATAGATCAAAGAATAAGTTAGATAAAGGATCTACTAACTACAACTTCCCTACAACAGAATCTCTATAATACCCGATGTTTTCTCCATAGGCTAAAAGTACCAGCAGCGGCAAAGATTATTTTCTGTTTAGCCAATTCTATTAACATTAACCATGAATGTGCTACCTTTAGCTCTCCCTCATATTTCAGACAAAAGTTTCCATATTAATATACCAAGCCTATTAACACAAAAGCATAATTTACGTTTTTTTGTTAATAAGCCTAACATTGACCATGAATGTACTACTTATTAGTTCACCTTCATGTTTTGTATAATTTATAAAAATCAAAAAAATCAAACAGAATGGTATGAAGACACTGATATCTTGGATTTTACCTTTTCATTAAAAGAAACAGAGATATGTTTGGAGAGTACAGACAAAATATTGAAAAGTGTTTGTCTGCTTACTCCTGTAAAGATAAGTTCTTCCAAAACCTTCTGTCATGTAATCAGATTCTCTGGTCATCACAGACAAACTCAGTCAAATCAGAGTACAGATGGTCGTTTATTACAAAACAACACAGGAGGCTTAGAATAGATGATACAGTTGGTCATTTTTGCACATAAAGTCTCTGATTAAGTATGAAAAATGTGAACATTTGTTTATCTTGGAAAAACTGCTATTACTTGTCAGCCATGACCAATTAGTTATTTCTAAACTGTTATCCATATAATTAAGAAAAACAGCCATCTGTAAAGTCAGAAGTTTGTGTCTCTTTTCTCATCCACATGTAAATGTAATTTCTGTAATCTGATTTACTTAAAAGAAAATTAACAGGCAGAATACAAGACAGATGACAGAAACTGATGTATTTTTTATAATTTTTGTTTTGTCACTATTTTTCCACTTAATGATAGTGTGGAGCAAATATAGCTGGATTCTTTTAAAGACCATTAAAAATGTTCCTAGAATATTTATCTTTCAAACTTAAAGCATGATTGTTATAAAGAAATGTGTGTCACATAAGAAAGTTTATATTATTTATCACCCTTTTGCATTTTAAGTACTGTATTAGTCACAGTTCTTCAGATAAAAAGAACCAAGACATATATGTAGATATGTTATAGAAGTTAGTTTATATGATTATGCAGACCCGGAACCTGATGTGTAATTTCAGTCTGAGTTAAAAGGCCTGATAAACAGAAGAGGTGATGATGTAGGTGCCAATCTGAAAGCTGGCAGGCTTAAAATAAAGATTGGCCAAAGTTTCCATCTGAGCCAGAAAACTGGGAAAGACCAAGATCCTAGCTCATGTGGGTCAGGCAGAAGGAATTCTCCCTTATTCAGCCTTTTTGTTCAATTCAGGTCTTCAGTTTTTTGGATGAGACCCATCCACATTGGAGAGGGCAACCTGCTTTATTTAGTCTACCAATACAAATGTTAATCTCTTCCAGAAACACCCTAACAGTCACAACCAAAATAACGTTTGGTCAAATGTCTGGATATCATGTGATCCAGTTGAGTTGACACATGAAATTAACCATCACATATACTTAGGAAAGCGAAATATGACCAAGTTTTTAAAAATAGCTTTATTGGAATACAATTTTAATGTACATTCTATGTGTTAGTTGGTACATGTATTTACTTGATGTTAATGAACAAAATTTAAAAGAGACAGAGCAAGATTGTGGAAGAGAAGCCTACACCATTCATTCCCCTTTATGGAACACCAAATTTTAATAATTATCTTCATATTGGAAAAGCACCATCAGAAGAATTGAAAATCTGGTGAGAAATCATAGTACCTGGATTTAACTTCATATTAGTGAAAGAGGCATGGAGGAGGGCAGGAAAGACAGTCCTGAATGGCTAACACGTGTCCCCCATGCCTATGTAGTGGCTGCACGGAATGGAGAGAGAACCTGTTCTTTTTTTGGAAGTGTGAATGCAGTGACTGGAAGGACTGTATGTTAAACTCAGTGCTGCCCTGTCACAATGGAGAATAAAGCCATATCGGGTTCAGCCAGTGACTGTGCAGGGAGGGAGCATTTGAACTATCCCTAACCAAAGGGGAATCATCTATTCCAGCCATCGGATCTTGAGTTTCTAGTCAAGCCTCACCGCCACAGGCTGAAGTGCTCTGGGGTTCCAGGCAAACTTGAAAGATTGTCTGGATCACAAGGATTGTAATTCCTAAGCAACTCTTGGTGCTAGGCTGGGCTTAGCGCTAGTGGATTGGAGTGGCTCATTACCTAGGGAGACATCAGCTAGTGTGACTAAGGGAGTGCTTGCACTATCCCTCACCCAACCCAAGACAGTGCAGCTTACAGCAACAAAAGTGACTCCTTCCTTTGCTTAAGGAGAGCAGAGCAAAGAGTAAAGAGGACTTTGTCTTGCATCTTGGATACTAGCTCAGCCACAGTAGGATGGGGCACTGGGCAGTCACAAGGACCCAATTACAGGCCCTAGCTTCTTGATGAAATTTCTAGACACACCCTGGGCCAAAAAGGAATTCACTACCTAGAAGGGAAGGAGTCAGTCCTGGCAGGATTTATCACCTGCTGACTAAGGAGACTTTGGGCCATGAGTAACAAGCAGCAATATATAGGGAATATTCAGACCTTCAGCTATGGAATGTGCTGGCTTCAAGGGTGACTCATCACATTCTAAGGTGTGGTGGCTATGGTGAATGATTTATTCTATTTGAGAAAAGCAGAGGGAAAAGTAAAAGAGAGTTTGCCTTGCGTGTTAGGTACCAGCTCAGACACACTAAGGTAGAGCAACAGCAGACTCTTGGGGTCCCCAAGTCCAGACCTATGCTTTTGGATTGCATTTCTGGACCTATTCTGGGCCAGAGAGGCACCCACTGTCCTGAAGGGTGAGTTCCAGGCCTAGCAGCATTCACCACAAACTGACAGAAGAGCCCTTGGGCTTTAAGTGAACATTAGCAGTACCCTGGCAGAACCTCTGTGAAATGGCAGTTGGTGGTGGCTGGAGGGAGAGGCCTCTCTGCTTGTGGAAAGGGGAGGGAACTGCAAAATGACTTTGTATTTTGGTCTCTGTTTCAATTTAGCCACGGTAGAATAAAACATCAGGTAAACTGCTAAGACATTTTACTTCAATCTCTGGCTCCCAGACATTATCTCTGGGCATGTTCAGGACCTGAGGGAATTTGCTGCCCTGAAGGGAAGAACCCTGGGCAAGACTCAGTGCTATGCTGGCTTCAGGTGTGATCCAGCACAGTACCAGTGGTAGTGGATACACAGGTGCTTGAAGGACCACACCCCCTGTTCCAGGAGGCTTAGCATAGAGAGAAAAAGAGAGAGACCCCATTTGTTTGGGAGAAAGTAGGAGAAAAGAAGAGTCTCTGGTTAGTAATTTAGAGATCTTATCCAAGACCACCAAGGTAGTACCAGTACAAATCTTCAAAAACCACGACATTATCAGAATGCTAAGTCCCTTCAAATACCTGAAAAGCCTTCTCAAGAAGAACAGGCAAGGGCTGGGTGTCGTGGCTCATGCCTGTAATTGAAGCACTTTGGGAGGCCGGGGTTGGTGGATTACCTGAGGTCAGGAGTTTGAAAACAGTCTGGCCAACATGGTAAAATGCTGTCTCTACTAAAAATACAAAAATTAGCCAGGCATGGTGGTGGACACCTATAATCCTAGATGCTTGCTAGGCTGAGTCAGGAGAATAGCTTGAACCTGGGAGGCAGAGGTTGCAGGGAGCCGAGATTGTGCCGCATCACTCCAGCCTGGGTGAAAGATCAAAACTCTGTCTCACTAAATAAATAAATAATAAATAAATAAATAAATAAATAAATAAAATAAATGAAGGACTGGCACAAACCAGCCCACAGTGTGAAGACTACAATAAATACTTTACTCTTCAATGCTCAGACACTGAAGAACATCTACTAGCATCAACACCATCCAGGAAAACATGACCTCACCAAATGAACTAAATAAGGCACCAGGGATTAATCCTGGAGAAACAGAGATAGATGTTTCAGACAGAGACTTCAAAAGAGTTCTATTGGAAAAACCCAAAGAAATTCAAGTTAACACAGCGAAGGAATTCAGAATTCTATAAGATAAATTTACTAAAGAGATTGAAATAAAAAGAACCAACCAGAAATTCTAAAGTTGAAAAATGCAAAAGGGCAAATCTGAGAGTTACTGGCTTTTAAAAGGAGCAAAGACATAGTGGTAGAAGTTTATTCAAAAGGATATTAGAGAACTTCCCAAATGCAGAGGAAGATATCAACATTCAGTATAAGAATATTATAGAGCATAAACAGATTTAACCCAAATAAGACTACCTCAACATATTTAATAATAAATTCCCAAAGGTCAAGGATAAAGAAGATTCTAAAAGCAGCAAGAGAAAAGAAACAAATAGCATAAATTGGAGATCCAATTTGTCTGGTAGCAGACTTCACAGGGGAAACTTCACAAGCCAGGAGCGACTGGCATGACATATTTACAGTGCTGAATGAAATAAACTTTTACCCTAGAATAGTATATCCAGTCAAAATATCCTTCAGACATGAAGGAGAAATAAAGACCTTCCCAGACAAGCAAAAGCTGAGGGATTTCATCCACACGAGACCTGTTCTATAGGAAATGCTAAAGGAAGTTCTTCAATCTGAAAGAACAGAATGTTAATGAGCAAGAATAAATCATTGAAAGGTACAAAACTCACTGGTAATAGTAAACACACAGAAAAACACAGAACAGTATCTTATTTTAATGGTGGTGTTTAAAGTACTCTTGATCTAAGTAGAAAGACTAAATGATGAACCAATCAAATATAATAACTATAACTTTTTGAGACATAGACAGTACAATAAGTTATAAAGAGAAACAACAAAAAGTTAAAAACCGGAAGGATGAAGTTAAAGTGAAGAGTTTTTATTTGTTCCATTTTGTGTGTTTGCTTGTAACTACAATTAGAGTTGTCATCAGTTTTAAATAATAGGTTATAAGATAGTGTGTGGAAGCCTCATGGTAACCTCAAATTTAAAAACATACAATAGATACACAAAAAATATAAAACAAGAAAGCATAGAATCAGAGGAAATCACCTTCATTAAAATGAAGACAGGAAGATAAAAAAGAAGAGAACACCATAAAACAACTGAAAAACAAATAAAAAAATGGCAGCAGTAAGTCCCAACTTACTAATAATGACATTGGATGTAAATGGACAAAACTCTCCAATCAAAAGACACGAAGACTCAATCAATGATTTGTTCTGTACAAGAAACACACTTTATCTATAAAGACATACATAGAATGAAAAAAAAGGAATGGTAAAAGATATTCCATAACAATGGAAACCAAAAAAATCAGGAGTAGCTATACTTATATCAGACAAAATAGATTTCAAGATAAAAACTATAAGAAGAGAGAAACAATGTCATTATATAATGATAAAGGAGCCAATTCAGGAAGATAATATATAATAATTATAAATATACATGTACCCAGTACTGGGGTGCCCAGATATATAAAGCAAATATTATCAGAGCTAAAGAGACAGAGAAACCCCAACATAATAACTAGAGACTTCAACACCCCACTTTCAGAAACATTGGGATGATCTTCCAGACAGAAATATCAATAAAGAAACATTGGAGTTAAAATCTGCACTATAAAACAAATAGACCTAATAGATATTTATACAACATTTACCCAAGGACAGCAAAATATACATTCTTCATTGAACCCGGGAGGTGGAGTTTGCAGTGAGCCAAGATTGCACCCTTGCACTCCAGCCTGGGCAACAGAGCGAGACTCCATCTCAAAAAAAGATAATTACGATAAACAAATAAAACCAAGTTATTTGCCACAACATGGATGGAACTAGAAGTTATCATGCTAAGCCAAATAGCCAGACACAGAAAAACAAATATTGCATGTTCTTACTCATATGTGGAAGTTACAAAGCTGATTTCATGAAAGTAGAGAGTAAAATAATAGATAACAGAAGTTGGGAAGGATGTGTGTGTGGAGAGAGGGAGGGATAAAGAGAAATTGGTTAATGGGTATAAACATACAGTTAGATAAAAGGACTAATTTCCAATGTTCGATAGCTGAATATGGTGACTATAGTTAATACCAACGTATTGTATATTTCAAAATAGCTAGAATAGAATAGAATAGAATAGAATAGAATAGAATAGAATAGAATAGAATAGAATAGAATAGAATAATAGAGTGAAATGTTCCCAAAACATAGGAATTTTACCAAAATGATAAATGCCCCAAATACTCTGACTTGATCTCTACAGAGTCTATGCATGAAACAAAATATCACATGTACTATATAAGTATGTACAAATATTATGTATTAAGAAAACTAGATGGACTATTCAATATACTCATTTCATTTATTATTCTCAAAAGTTAAAGTTTTAGAGTAGACAAAATAACCAAATTAATTACCTTTAAAAGTGAGCTATTAATCCTAATTAAAATGCCACAATTTGTTCCTATTAGTCTGATTATTATACTTTATATGTATCATTGTTAGGAAAATTGAAACCAAAGAGAAAACTATACTTTAAATATAACACTTAATGAAATTACATTATTTGTTAATATTAGCCATAATTTTTATTGTTCAAACACACTCTCTTTCTCTCTTCCATTAATGCTTATTTAAAAATCCTGAAATTAAAATGTTGTCAAAAAAGTAGTACCTCACTGAAATGGATAACAGAAGACCAGGCCAATAAGAGTCTGGCTGCAGTGATTTCTTAAAACTCTAGATATAATCATGGGTAAGAATTAGGCTTCATTATTCCAGAAAAATATATGATTAAATAGAACCAAACTTTAGATAGCCTATAGATGACAGAATTTCCTCATTACTTCTTCCTAACATTTTAATTGACACCTTTTCTTTGCAATATATGCATTGAGTAAGGCAGATCAGACATCTGCTGTGTTTAGGACAGATGAAAAGAAATGAGGAGAAAATACATGTGATTTTAGGACAGAGATGAATGAAGTCTATTTTCTATTTTCTATGTCATGTGGACTCAGGCTTTATACTTAGTCAAAGAGGTCAAGGAAGATGCATATCACTAAACTGAAATTGTAGATCTGTTTGACCTGTAACTCACCTCAGAACCCAGAGTTTCTTAACTCTTGTGTTTCTGCCACATTGACCACTTTTCTTTTAATTTTAATGTCACAACTAAGTTTGATACTTCTGCCTTTTTTTAAAAAAACAAAAAACAAACAAAAAAAAAACAACCTCCCAACAGCCTACAGTGGTCATTCTAGCTTAACTACTTTTATGAGGCAGCAGAATTCCTTATTTTAAAATAATAAGGAGTCTTACAAATTTGAATTTGGAAGCTAGAAATATTGAATTTATAGTTATATCTGAGATGTAAAAATTTATAACATCTCAGAGATACAAGTCATGACTCCATGACTCATTACAGCCACACATCACTTAACAAGTGGAATACATTCTGAAAAACGTGTCTTTTGGCAATTTTGTTGTTGCATGAATATTAAAGGGCATACTTAAACAAACCTACTACACACTTAGGCTATTTAGTACAGCCTATTGCTTCTAGGCCTCAAACCTGCACAATCATTATCATATTAAATACTGTAGGCTATTGTAGTACAAAGGTAAGTATTGTGTGTTAACTATCTAAACATAGGAAAAGTAATGTGTTGTGCTATGACATTATGACAACTACAGTGTCATTCAGGAATAGGAATTTTCCACTCCATTATAATCTTATGTGATCAAAACGTTGTCATGGAGTACCAACTGTACTCTAAAATTAAATTTTTTAAAGGGTTGATGCCTGTGGATGAAATCTTAACTGGATGTTCTAATCTCTAAGAAAGTTAAAAATCAAATTTCCCCCAAAACTGACCAACAATAGAAGAAATTGGTTTGAAATATCTTCAAATTTTTATTTCAAGCTATGTAATTTCAAGCAAAAAAAATCAAATAATATAGGCATTTATTTGCTAATATAGGTATTTATTTGCTAATAGCAAAATGTTGACTCTATCCACTCCTGCTGCTTCTAGCTGGGAAGACACACCAAGTGATAGTAAGTATTTGTATCAACTAAAGAGTTAACTAAGAGAAGTGAACAAGAAAGCAAATAAGCATTTTTAAAAATTTCCTTAATATACACCAATCCATCTCATATAATTATGGTCAATATTTATGGAGGAATATTGTTTGCCATATTTCTCGATGCATATCATTATTTTAGACTGGTTGGAAAGCTAAATGCCACAAATACCAATATTTGCACAAAGCATAAACTTTGTTAACACCTAAGGATTCACTTCTGCTTTGACAATTACATAGTTTGAAAAAGTATGATAAAAAGATTCACTTTGCAAAAACGAGACACAAAATTGTAACCTGGTTACCTGCAGAACATTATATGCTGACATAAAAGACAAATATTATTATTGAAAGTATTTCTGTATTCCAATTCCTTTAGGAAAGCAATTGTTCCATTTTTAGACATTGTCAATGTTTTGAATGTATAGTACACAATGTGATTTCAAAGGCCTCCAAAAGACTACTTGCAATCCACAAAACAGCACCATAGATCTGTTCAACTTCTTTATCAATGTCTCATGTTCTACAGACAAATTTTGGGTAGAATTTGAGATTCATTAAATGTTGCTACCTCAGGTGATAGCAAAAAATGATGTCATTCATACTTGAGTATAAGCAGATTTATGATTTTTTTTGTTAAGATTTGCATTTAGATACTATGAAGAGTAAAAGTAATCACCTATATTTGTTTTAGGGTTATTTATCTCCACTATGTGTGCTTTCCTTGAGCGAAACCTTCAGCAGTTACAAATGCTAATCTTTCCTTAAGACTGAGGCATGATAAAGATAATAGTAGATACCACTTTCAAAGAAGATTTAACTTTGTCTGCTTTTAGAGTAATCTAGGTGTCACATCTATAATAGTCTGTTTAAGTTGTTACAGTTATGTTGATTAATGTTTTAGGCACGAAGAAAAAACCATTCACTTGAGAGGGAAAAATGTGATATATATTTCATCTTTAAACTTACATGTTTGTTTTATCCATTATGAAAATCCATACAGCAATCATAACCAATCAAAACAAAGGGCTGGTGAGAATGAAGAAAAGGAAAATAGAACACTTTGTATTATGAAAAGAGTAAAAATGAGGAAATTTGTTTGATGTAGTCAGTTGTTTTACATGAGCCTAATAGAGAAGTAGCATGAACAATTGTTTTTCATGCGTGTTTTATATCCTCATATAAACCCTCATCAAATGACATGTCATAAATGCAGCGTGTGGCTTTAAGGCAGATTGTAGGGCATGTCTTTATGAGGCTGAAAGTTCTAATGCCTGGAGAAGAGTGATGATAAAGGCTTCTCATCACTGCAATTTAAAATGCTAAAATCCATAAAAAAAACACTTTGGTTTCAATATTTAACAATATTTAACAGAAAATAAATATAAATTTACAATTTTAGCATTAAATGCTGGAAATAGCATTCTCTCACTGTTGAATATTTTGGGCATTGCAGAATACAATTTTTGTAGTATGAAAATTTTGAAAATGTGGACACCAGCACTTAATCGTTCAGTGCTTTAATTATAGACAGGTGTATAGTTATCTTGAAACTGTGTTTCATGGGCCTATCATCTTGATAGCTTTTAGAAATATTTCTAAATCATAAATTCAATAATTCTAAATATTCACATTTTAATGTATATCTTATTTTACCTGATTATGCCATACCTGCCATTAATTAAGCATCCTGAAAAGAATTTGATATTTTAAAATTCATTCATTTGTAGCAATAAGCAAGATGGTAGACTAGAAGTGAAGCAGCATCATTCTCTGGGGTAAATACCCGGGGTTCATCATCTCGTGCCAAGAATATTAAGGACATGGACACACACAAGGAGTGAGTTTAGGAGCAGAGGTTTAATAGGCAAAAGAAAGAGAAAGGAGAGCAGCTCTCTCTCTCGTGAGAGAGAGGGGCGTCTGAAAGGGAAAAGCCAGCCCTCCATGGACTGCGCGAGATTTTATAGGCACACTTGAGGAGGTTGTGTCTGATTTATGTAGGGACCGCAGATTGGTTGGACCAGCTGTGAGGTTTACATAGCACCCAGGGAAGGCTGGTTATCTCACCGTAATCTTACCAGGCAAATGGGGTCTTTGCTTGACCAGGGCCATATTGTCTTCTCCTTACTGGACACGTGATTTGTCAAAAAGAAGGGAGGATGGCGCCGCCATTTTAAGCATGCCTAATCCCAGGTAGCCTTTGCCTACTGGCACAACTGCCAGCAATCACCCCTGAAAGCTTCCAGCTTGCTTGTCTATGTGTGCAGCTCGGTTTTACAGGCTGCTCTTTGTTAGAAAAGAAAATCATTTGGGGGCTGCTTTTCCTTAAAAGGAAAACCTTACTGAGGATCCCTGTATGTACCTTATCTGCCTACGTATTTTTTCTTAACTCCTATATCAGAAGCAGCTAGTGTGTGCTGCTGCCATGGAGAGGAAACAAACTGGAGAGTAAACACTGACCCTGAAAGCTATCTAAGAAACCATGTCAGGGCCCATCAAGGGGGCAAGGGGGCAAGGGGGCACAAACAGAAAACCGTGAAGCTGGCAGCAGCCCACTGCGGATCAGCACCGAGCCAAGAGAAACTCCCCAACACAGGGCAAGGGTGAGTGAGTGAGAGCCTCTGTGGAATCCACATTTATCACAGGAACCTGAGAAATCCTGGGAACAGGAGAATACTCTGTCCTCTAGACTGATACAGAGAGCTGCCATTCGTTTTTGTGAAGGCAACATTGAAGTCCATGAGGACCCCCGCAGGCCTTGTTCTCCAGAGCAACAGAGCACCAGCTGCCACAGCCCAAATAGTGGCCCCGGACATGGTGTTTGAGGCAGTAAAACTTTTTTACTCCCCCTCGTCAGACAAGGGTCAGCAATAGCTTCCAGCACAGCAGCCCTACTTCTGCCTGAACTCTGCCAGAGGACACTGCTATATGTTCCTCCAGAAGCACCTGGACATTTGAGTGACTCCACCCATCCCCACTCTTACCTAAATGGGAAAGACACGTCTGCTCAAGCTTCCAGCATGACAGATCCACCTCTGTCTGAACTCTGTAGGCAGGCACAGCTCCGTGTTTCCCCAAGAAGTACCTAGACAGCAAAATGTTGACTCTATCCACTCCCACTGCTCCTAGCTGGGGAAGACTCACCAATTGTTGCTTCCAGCATAGTGCCCTATATCTGCCCACATTCTGCGGGTGAATGCAGCTCTGTGTTCCCCTGGGAAGCACTTGGACAGCAGGCCAAGTAACTCTATGCACACTACTGCTTCTAGCTGGATAGGACTCACCAGCATGGGTGGCACATAAGCAGGGAGGGAGCCCTCATTCTCAGAACGCTGAGGAGGGTGACACCCAAGTTTGTGAGCCAGTGGGGAAGTGGGACATACCTCCCTCCACAGGGCTGGTCTGGGAAGGGTATAGCCTGTCTGCCAACCACAGCCCCTGCCTGAGGCAGCCCACAGCCCAGAAGACCTAGCAAAGGAAATGTGAGCGTGGAGCCAGTGATCAGAGAGGGCTCCTCCAAGGCTCAGGATCAGACCAAGTGAGAGGGTCGTCTCTCTTTTGTCCACAATACACTATTGCCAATGTACCAAAATACAAAAAGTCAAGCAGCTAAGAGCCTATCCATAGGCCATCAGGCTTAAGTTCCACCTACTGGATCATAGGCCAAATTACACCACCAAAATATTTTGCCAGTATACAGTGCCTGTGAAAACTCAGGCAAAAATTCAGCCACACATAAAGATTATGTATAGAGTCTTGGCCCTTGGGCAGCACCTAAAATGAAGCCAACTAACTATACTCAACTTACATAATAGGTAAAGCAACACAGGCCCTCATACAAGAGAAAAAATCAGTGCAAAATTTCTGGTAACTCAAAAAGCCAGTATGTCCCCTTACCCTCAAACAAACACACTTGTGTCCCAGAAATGATTTTTAACTACATTGAGATGAGTAAAATGACAGATACAGAATTGAGAATTGGATAACAAGGAAGCTCATCTTGATCCAGGAGACAGTTAAAACCCAATTCGTGAATCCAGTACAATGATCCAAGAGCTGCAAGATAAAATAGCCTTTTTTAGAAAGAACCATGATGGCCGGGCACGGTGGGTCAGGCCTGTAATCCTAGCACTTTGGGATGCTGAGGCGGGCAGATCACCTGAGGTCAGGAGGTCGAGACCACTCTGGCCAACATGGTGAAACCCTATCTTTACTAAAAATACATAAAAAGTAGCTGGATGTAATGGCGGGTGCCTGTAATCCCAGTTACTCAGGAGGCTGAGGCAAGAGAATCGCTTGAACCTGGGAGTCAGAGGTTGCAGGGAGCCGAGATGGTGCCATTGCACTCCAGGCTGGGCAACAGAGTGAGACTCCGCCTCAAAAAAAAAAAAAAAAAGAAAAGAAAGAAAGAACCATGATGAACTTCTGGAACTGAAGAATTCACTTCAGGAACTTCGTAATATAATTGAAAGTATTAACAGCAGAATAGATATAGCAGAGAACACAATTTCAGAGCTTGAAGACTTTTTTGTTTAAATCAAATCAGTCATACAAAAGTAAAGAAAAAAGAATTTTAAAAATGAACAAAAATGTTTTTTAAATCAAATTAGTCATACAAAAGTAAAGAAAAAATTTTAAAAATGAACAAAACTTCTGAGAAATAAGAGATGATGTAAATATACGAAATCTATGACTATTGGCATTCCTGAAAGAGGAGAGTAAGCAACTTGGAAAACATATTTGAAGATATAGTTCATGAAAATTTCCTCAATCTTGCTAGAAAGGAAGACACACAAATTGAAGAAATATAGAGAACCCCTACTAGATACTGTATAAGATGACCATCCCCAAGGTACAGAGTTATCAGACTCACCAAAGTAAATGCAAAAAAAAAAAAAAAAATTCTTAAAGGCAGCTACAAAGGTCAGGTTACCTACAAAGGGAACCCCATCAGGTTAGCAGCAGACCTCTCAGCAGAAACCTTACAAGACAGAAATTGGTGGGGGGGCAGTTATCAGCACTCTTAAAAAATATATTCCAACCAAAAATCACATATGCTGCCAGACTAAGCTTCATAAGTAAAGGAGAAATTAAATACCTTCATTAAAAAGTTAGAAAGATCTCCAATTCATGATCTAACATTGCACCTAGAGGAACTAGAAAAAAGAATTCAACCCCAAAGCTAATAGAAGAAAAGAAATGACTAACATTAGAGAAGAATTAAAATTGAGACCAGAAGTCCATAGAGAGGATCAATAAAACTGAGTTGATTTTTCAAAAGAATAAACAAAATTTATAGACCACTAGCAGATTAATAAATTAGAAAAAGAGAAGATTCAAATAAGCACAATCAGAAATTACAAAGATGCCAGAGAAATACAATAGATCCCCCAAGACTTATGAACATCTCCATGTACACATATTAGAAAATATAGATTAAAGTGAATAAATTCCTAAAAACACACAATTTCCCAAGACTGAACTAGAAAGAAAGTGAAAACCTAAATGGACCAATAACAAGTTTCAAAATTAAATTGGTAATAAAAAACCTACCAACAAAACAGAGCACTGGACTAGATGAATGCACATCCAAATTCTACCAAATGTACAAAGAAGAACTGATACCAATCCTACTGAAACTATTCCAAAAATTTAAGGAGGGGGGGATACTCCCTAACTCATTCCATTAAGCCAGTATCATCCTGATATGAAAATCTAGCAGAGAGTCACCACAGAAAATGAAAACTTCAGGCTAATATTCTTGATCAACACAGATGCAAAAATCCTCAACAAGACACTGGCAAACTGAATCCAGCAGCACATCAGAAAATTAATTCACTATAATCAAGTAGGCTTTATTTCTGGATGAAGCCCTGGTTCAATATACACAAATTAATAAATGTGATTCACCACATAAACAGAATAAAAAAACAAAACCATATGGTCATCTCAATAGATGCAGAAAAAGCCTTCATTAAAATCTAACATCCTTTCATGACAAAAAACCCTTGAGAGTGAACGAATTGAAGGAATATGCCTCAAAACAATAAGAGGCATCTATAACGAACCCACAGCCAGCATCATACTGAATGGGCAAAAGTTGGAACCATTCACCTTGAGAATCAGACCAAGACAAGAATGCCTACTCTCACTACTCCTATTCAGTATGGTACTAGAAGTTCTAGCCAGAGCAATCAGCAAGAGAAAGAAATACAAGACATCCAAATAGGAAACGAAGAAGTAAAATTATCTCTCTTTGCTGATTGTACAATTTTATACTCAGAAAACCCTAAAGACTCTGCCATAAGGCTCCTAGACCTAAAAAGTGATTTCAGTAAAGTTTCAGGATACAAAATTAATGTACAAAAATAAGTAGCATTTCTATACACCAACAATGTTCTAGCTGAAAACCAAATTAAGAACACAGGTCTATTCACAATAGCCACAAAAAATGAAATACTTAGGAATTCATCTAACCACAGAGTTGAAAGATCTCTACAAGAAAACTAAAAATACTGCTGAAAGAAATCAGAGACAACACAAATAAATCAAAAATTATTCCATGCTCATGGATTGTAAGAATCAATATTGCTAATATGGCCATACTGCCCAAAGCTACTTACAGATTCAATGCCATTCCTATCAAAACACCAACATCATTTTTCACAGAATAAGAAAAAAAATCTATTCTAAAATTCATATGGAACCAAAAAAGGAGTGTGAATAGTCAAAGAAATCCTACACAAAGAATACAAAGCCAGAGGCATCATATTACCCAGACTCAGACTATACTTCAAGGCTACAGTAACCAAGACAGCATGGTGCTGGTGCAAATACAGACATACGGACCAATGAAACAGAACAGAGAACACAGAAGTAAACGTGAATGCCTATAACAATCGAATCTTAAAAAAAAAAAATAGACAAAAACAAGCAATGGGGAAAGAACATCCCATTCAATAAATGATTCTGGGATAACTGGCTAGCCATATGCAGAAGAATAAAACTGGACACCTACCCCTATTTATACACAAAAATTAACTCAAGATGGATTAAAGATTCAAATGTAAGATGTCAAGCTATATAATCCTAGAAGAAAACCTAGGAAATACCCTTCGCAACATTCTAGCTTTGGCAAAGAACTTATGGCTAAATGCTGAAAAGCAATTGCAACAAAAACAAAAATTGACAAGTGGAACCTCATTAAACTATACAGAATTTCCACACAGCAAAAGAAATTACCAATAGAGCAATCAAATAAGTCCACAGAATGGAAGAATATATTCACATATTATGCACCTGACAAAGATCTCATATCCAGAATCTATAAAGAATTTTAAAAAATCAACAAGCAAAAAACAAATAATCCAGTTGAAAATGGGCAAAAGACATGAACAGATAGCTCTCAAAAGAAAATATAAAGGCAGCCAATAAACATATAAAAATACTCAACATCACCAATTATCAGATAAATGCACATCAAAACCACAATGAGATACCATCTCACACCAGTGAGAATGGCAATTATTTAAAAGTCGAAAAATAACAGATGCTATGGAGGCTGCAGAGAATAAAGAGCACTTACACACTGATGAGGGGAATGCAAACTAATTCAGTCACTGTGGAAAACAGTTTGGAGATTTCTCAAAGAAATTATAATAGAACCTCCATTTAACCCAGCAATCCCACTGCTGGGTATATACCAAAAGGAAAATAACATTCTATCAAAAAGACACATGAACTCATGTGTTCATTGCACCACTGTTCACCATAGCAAAGACATGGAATCAATGTAGGTGCCCTTCAACAGTGGACAGGATAGAAAAATGTGATACATGTGCACCATGGAATACTACACAACCATAAAAGAGAATGAAATCATGTTCTTTGCAGCAATATGTATGCAGCTGGAGGCCATTATCCTAAGAGAATTAACACAGGAACATAAAGCCAAAAAATTCATGTTCTCACTTATAAGTGGGAGCTAAATATTGAATACACATCAACATAAAGATGGGAACAATAGGCACTAAGGATTACTAGAAGGGGGAGAGGGGAGAGAGAACATGGGATGAAAAACTACCTTTTGGGTTACTGGGTTCTAGGCTCACTACCAGGGTAACGAGATTATTTGTACTGAAACTTCGGCATCACACAATATAACCAGTAATAAACCTGCACTTGTACTGCTTTAATCTATAATAAAAGTTGAAATTATAAAACAAAATAAAATTCATTCATTCATAAATGTTTTGTTTTTGACTCTAGGGAGGTCACATGAAGAGAGCCTGCAACTATATTGATAGAAAAAGTTGCTCAGCTGATCTCTGTCATCTAAGTGTCTAGTCATCCTTGCCAAAGTATCAGGCATTTGAGTGAGACCTTTTTCAGGTTATACAATTACATTTATATTAATACATTTGAAATTTCCATAATAAAATGTTTGCTTTTCAAAAAGAAAATAATCTAAAATCTTGCCTACCCTTCATTATGTTTATAACGAAGATGTATACCTTCACTAACTAAAGATAAGCTTGAGTGGGGTGCGTGACTTAGTCATGCATGGGGGAAAAAACTTGCATAAAGTTACAAGTTTCTAGCTGATTCTTAATGGTAATTAAAATATATAGGCCTAAACAATTATCTTGTTAAATTTTATAGGTAACATTCAAGAATGCATCAACAATCAGCACTGCAAAATATTCTCTGAGATGCAATGTTCTCTGAGATAAAAATCAACTTTTTATTAGATGACTGATGCATCTGCTAATACTATAAAAAGAGAGATATGTGTATAATTTGGCAAATATTAAAAATTAAATTATCTCTATTACAAATCAGAATTCCATTGAATATAAAATTGTTTATACATATATATGCTATATTTTAATATTTATGTATATGTTATATATGCATATATTTAGACACATGTGTATATACATGGATTTTAAATTTTGCAGGGAGAAAATTTTTTTGCTTGTTTTCTGACAATAGAACACCAGTGTTTTCATCGAGTTTAGGACAAATACAAAAAATTTAGTTTTTCATGTCTAGGAATATTTTATTTTCTCTCACTTTACTATAGGATGTAGAAACTATTATAACTCATCCATTTTTGTTATTGTTGTTCTTCTTCAATTTTCCTCTGCATCATCTAAATTAATCTTATTTTATGAGATCTTGTTTTTTATCAAGTTAATTATTTTTTTAAAAAAGTCAATTTCAGATGGCTCTGGTCAAATCTCTCTCTAAAGAATGATCTTAAAATGTATCGTTATGACGTATCAGTGGAGGGAGGCTTAGAATGACTGACTCTTGGGAACACCCACACTAAGGGCACAGCAAGACACATCTTCACCAGGTGAGTGCAATGGGTAACTGACCCACTTAGGAAAGAAACTTTTGTGGCATACATGTGAAAAAACATGGGAAAGTTCAAAATCTTGCCAGGTTTTCTAGGACTCCATCTGGTTGCATATTATGGCCCGTCCTTGTGCACATTTTAAAACTGATAGGCAAATTATAGCAAGGAAAATTCAGAGCTCAAATGGTCAACCTGCAACTATAGAGTTAAGTAAAGCTCTCTATTTCTCTTTCCTTTTTTGCCTGCTTTGAATCTGCTGCTATTAAGCTACTGGTGTTGAGATAAAACACACTGTTTATAGTACTACTAATTTAAGGCTACTTTGAGATTTTGTTTTTCTTACATAGTTCAGCCTGTTCTATCTAAAATGTAAAGATTGGAAACATTTGAAACTGAAGGAGAAAAGATGAAAAAGAGGTTTTTAAAAATGAAACTGACATGGAAAATGTGCTACTCAAAACTTTGGTACACAGCCTTCATTGGTTTACCTATCAGTGAAAACAAAGTTTAGCCATGTGAACAAGACCCAATTTTGTAGAAATAATTTGGATCCACCTGTCTTTTTAAAACTGATTTATAGAAATACGGTGACTTGATCTATGTCATCTGAAGTCAGCTGACTAAGAATAAAAAAGTTTCACAACTTCCTCAGAACTTTGCTGGTGCTCACATTTCTGCAGTTGATTGTCATTTCTTTAATCCCCTCCTAAGGGAGTCTAAGTTTATACAAACTTAAGTTGGTTCTTTAGGACACTAGACAGCCATATTCTCAGTTTACTGGCTTTCTGAATAAAGTTGCTTTCCTTGTTCCAATATCTTGTCCCTTGACTTATTGGCTGTGATGCAGCAAGTGGTATGAGTGTAGACTTGGTTACAATGTAGCTATTAGCTTAAGACTACAGGCTTTCCCATCCAAGTATAAAATCTTGAATTACTAGAAGCAGTTAGCGTGCACCACTTTTATGAATAGAATAAAGTGTGGTGGTTAAACACTAGCTCTTTAACTGGATCATCCAGGTGGACACACTGGGATTCATTGAGGAATCAATGCAACCCACAGAGAACAGAGAAGAGATACGCCAACCACCCACCCAGAAGTGGTGTAGAGCCAGGGGAGACCCCTCACTGTGGGGAAATGGTAAATGAGTGACAGGAACTGGGGACCCACACTTCTGCCATGGACCTCTGCAACCCTGAACTCAGGAGATCCCCCATGATCCTCCCTGCAATGGGGTCTCCAGACTGACATGGAGAGCTACATGGAGTCTCAGTATAGCTGCCACTCAAGCACATGAAAAGTCCCTTTGATCCCTAGGACAACCCACAGCCCCCAGAACAAGCAGCTGCAGATCCAGCAATGAGGGAGGCCAGGCTCCCTTGCACATCCGCAGGATGGAGGCAGAATCCATGGGGACTGAGCAGCAGATGAACACCAGGTTTCTCCCGGACTGCACCTCTCTGAACAAGGCCAACTGGCCTGGGACCCTAGCGTGTCCACCCCAGCCCCACCTGAGCTCTCAGGCCAGGAGGAGCTCTGTACTTCCCTGAGATGTAGCTCCCAGAGGGAAGCAAGCAGACCACCATTTTTGCTGCTCCACAGCCCTCACTCCTGTTGTTCTCAGGCTTGGGAGGGAGAGCAATGATTAGGGACTAATGCGGACCCCCAGCACAGTGCAGCTGTCTTATGGAAAAGCAGCAAAACAGTTTTCCACAGGAGACGTCATCCCTCTACTCCTCACTGGTCAGAGACTCCCAACCTGGAACCCCAGGCACCTCTTATCTGGGATCTCAGGCTAGTATCAGCTCTGCACTTTCCTGGGACAGAGCTCCCAGAAGTAACAGGCAGACCACTAGTTTTGCTGCTCCACAGCCCTTACTCCTGTTGCCCTCAGGATTGGGAGGGAGCTCAGTGATTAGAGACTAATGTGGTCCTCCAGCACAGCAAGGATGCCTTATGAAAAAGGAGCCAGACTGTTTTTCTTGTGTGGCTCCACCCATGCTACTTTTGACTGGGCAGGGCCTCCTGACCTGGGACCCCAGCCATCAGCAACCTGGGCTCTTGAGATGGTAGCAGCTCTGCACTTCCCAGGGATGGAGCTTCCGGAAATAGCATGCAGGCCATTATTTTTGCTGGTCCACAGTCCTCACTCCTGTTGCATTCAGGCTTGTGAGGGAGGACGGTGACTAGAGACTAACACATACTCCCAGCACAGCCCAGCTGCCTCATGGAAAAGAGGCCAGACAGATTCCCACATGGGTCCCTGCCTCTGCTATGCCTCACTGGGCAGGGCCACTCAACCAGGGCCTCCAGCACAACCACCCTGCCCCCTGCCTGAACACTCGAGTGTGGTGGCTTTGCATTTCTCTGGGGAAGAAATCTCAGAGACAACCCACAGTCCCTCTACCACTGCAACTGCAGTGGTACCGCTCTTACTGTCCTTGGGCTGGGTAAGGTACAAAGAACCTGAGAATTTTACCCATACCTCCAGCAAACCACAGTGATTTTAAGAAGAGGAGGCTAGTCTGTCTCCCCTGTGAGCCCCTTGTCCCCACTGTTTGTCACCAGGCAGGGACCCCCAGCTTGGTTCCACAACACAGCCACCCAACCCTGGGCCAACTGTACCAATTGGTAGCAGATCCACATTTCTCTGGGGTGGAGCCCCGAGAGACAAGTGAAACGCCTTCTGCTACAGGCACTACCAAGGTCCCTTCCCCTGCTGCCTCCAAGATGGGGAAGAAACATAAAGCCTGAGCTCACCCTAGGACTGTGGTGTGCAGCCTGGGAGTGCCAAACTGAGATTTGCAGCCAACACTCAAGTGGGAGAGGAATCGACACTTTCAGAGCACTGAGAGGATGCACAGCTGCAAACATGAAATATGGAGGAGCCGCATGGATGAGTAAGAGCCTATCTCCCAGCTATTACACTTAAGCAACATCTACTGGATCACAGCCCAAACTTCAACCCCAAAAATACTTTGCAAATATATTCCCCATGAAACAAAGGACAAAAATACTGCTACAAATAAAGACCCTAAACAAAGCTTTGGCCCTCTGAACACATCCAGAAATGAAGTCAATGTATTATACTCAAATACACCACAGTTAAAGGAACATCAGTCCAAAAAGAAGAGAAAGAACCAGTATAAGAACTCTGGCAACTAAAAGTCAACTAAAAGTTGTCATTCCTCCAAATGACAACTCTACTTCCCTAGCAAGGGTTCTTATCCAGACTGAAATGGCTGAAATTGTAGACACAGAACTCAGAATATGCACAGAAACAAAGATTATTAAGATTCAAGGAATCTAAAAATTACAATAAAATGATAAAGGAACTGAAAGATGAAATAGTCATTATAATAAATAACCTAACTGAGCTGATAGAGCTGAAAAACACTATAAGAATTTTGTAATACAATTGCAAGAATTAATAGCAGAATAAAACAAACTGAAGAAAGAACCTCAGAGCTCAAAGACTGGTTCTCTGAACTAAATCAGACAAAAATAAAAAAGAATAAATGAAACCTTTAAGAAATATGGATTAGGTAAAGAGACCAAATCTATAACACATTGGTGCTCCTGAAAAAGAGGGAGACAGAGTAAGCAACTTGGAAAACATATTTCAGGACACTGTCCCTGAAAATTTCCCAAACCTTGCAAGAAAATTCAATATTCAAATTCACGACTGCAGAGAACCTCTGTCAGATAATATCCAAGGTGACCATTCCCAAGACACATAATAATCAGATTCTCCAAGGTTGACATTAAGGAAAAAAAAAAGACATTAAAGGCAGCTAGAGAAAAGGATCAGGTCACCTACAAAGGAAAACCCATTAAGCTAACAGTGGACCTTTCAGCAGAAACCCTACAAGTCAGAAGTGATTGGGGGCCTATGTTCAGCATTGGCGAGGAAAAGACACTCCAACCAAAAATGTAATATCCAGCAAAACTAAGATTCATAACAAAAGGAGAAATAAGATCCTTTTTGGAGAAGCAAATACTAAGGGAATCTATCACCACCAGAACTGCCTTACAAGAGGTACTTAAGAAAGTGCTAAATACGAAAATGAAAGATCATTACCAACCACCACAAAAACAGACTTATGATTATATACCATTGACACTCTGAAACAACCACACAATAAAGTCTGCATAATAATCAGCTAACAACAAAATGACAGGATCAAACCTGCAAATAACAATATTGACCTTGAATTTAAACAGACTAAATGTTCCCCCCACTCCCCGATTAAAAGGCAGAGCATGACAAGTTGAATGAAGAAGCAAGACTGAACACTGTACTGTCTTCAAGAGACCTACCTCACATGAAAAGACACCCATGGGCTCAAAGTAAAGGGATGGAGAAAAATCTACCAAGCAAGTGGAAAACAGACAAAATCAGGGATTGGCATTCTAATTTCAGAAAAGACAACCTTTAACCAACAACGATCAAAAAGGAAAAAGAAAGGCATTACATAATGATAAAGGTTTCAATCCAATAAGAAGACCTAATAATCCTAAATATATACGCACCCTACACAGGAGCACCCAGATTCATTAAGCAATTTCTTAGGGATGTATGAAGAGACTCAGGTAACCACACAATAATAGTGATAGACTTCAACACCCTACTGACAGTATGAGACAAATCATTGAGGCAGAAAACTAACAAAGGTATTTGGGACCTGAAGTTGACACTTGACCAAACAGATATCCACAGAACACTTCACTCAAAACCAACAGAATATATATTCTTACCTTCACATAGCACATACTCTAAAAAAAAAAAAACCTCTAAAATCAACCACACATCCAGACATAAAGCAATCCTCAGCAAATGTAAAGAAACTGAAATTATACCAAACCCACTCTTGAACCACAGAGCAATAAGAACAGAAATAAACATTGAGAAAATTTCTCATAGCTACACAATTTGATGGAAATTAAACAATCTCTTCCTGAATGAGTTTTGGGTAAACTATAAAATTAAGACAGAAACTAATAATTTTTTTGAAATTGATAAAAACAATGATACAACATACTAGAATATCTGGGACACAGCTAAAGAAGTAATTAGAGGAAAGTTTATACTGCTAAATGCCCATATCAAAAAGATGTCAAATTAGCAACCTAATGTCACACCTAGAGGAACTAGAGAAACAAGAGCAAACCAACCCAAAAGCTAGCAGAATACAGGAAATAACAAAAATAAAAACTGAACTGAAGGAAGTTGAGACACAAAAAAGACAGAACATCAACATATCCAGGAGTTTGTTTGTTGGGAGAAAAATAAGATAAACACACTGCTAGCTAGACTATTTGTTTAAAGGAGAAGATCCAAATACACACAATCAGAAATGACAAAGGAGACATTACCACTAAGCCCACGGAAATACAAAAATCACTCAAAGACTAATATGAACACCTCCATGCACACAAACTAGAAAAGCTAGAAGCGATGGATAAATATCTGGAAACATAAACCTCCCAATATTGAAGCAGGCAGAAATTGATACCCTGAATGGACCAATAATGAGTTCCAATATTGAATCAATAATAAAAAGCCTACCAAAGAGAAAAGTCCAGGACCAAATGAATTCACAGCCAAATTCTACCAGATGTATGAAGAAGAGGTGATACCATTTCTACTGAAACTATTCCAAAAATTGTGAAGGAGAGACTCCTTTTCAATTCATTCTCTGAGGCCAGGTTTATCCTGATTCCAAAACCTTGCGAAGACACAACAAAAAATGAAACTTCAGGCCAATATCCTTGATAAACAGATGTAAAAATCCTCAACAAAATACTAGCAAACCAAATCTAGCAGCACATCAAAAAGCTAATACACCATGATCAAGTAGGCTTTATCCCTGGGATGTAAGACTGGTTCAACAGATGCAAATCAATAAATGTGATTCACCACATAAACAGAACTAAAAGGAATACCACATGAGCATCTCAATAGATGAAAAAAAAAAGGCTTTTGATGAACTTCAACATTCTTTCATGTTAAAAATCCTCAACAACTAGGCATTGAAGGTATATATGTCAAAATCATAAGAGCCATTTATGACAATCCCACAGCCAACATCATGCTGAATGAGCAAAAGCTGGAAGCATTCACCTCGAGAAGCAAAACAAGACAAGGATGCCCTCTCTTACCACTCCTATTTAACATAGTACTGGAATTCCTAGCCAGAGCAATCAGGTATGTTTATTGCGGCATTATTCACAATAGCAAAGACTTGGAACCAACCCAAATGTCCAACAATGATAGACTGGATTAAGAAAATGTGGCACATATACACCATGGAATACTATGCAGCCATAAAAAATGATGAGTTCATGTCCTTTGTAGGGACATGGATGAAATTGGAAATCATCATTCTCAGTAAGCTATCGCAAGAACAAAAAATCAAACACCGCATATTCTCACTCATAGGTGGGAATTGAACAATGAGATCACATGGACACAGGAAGGGGAATATCACACTCTGGGGACTGTTGTGGGGTGGGGGGAGGGGGGAGGGATAGCATCGGGAGATATACCTAATGCTAGATGACGAGTTAGTGGGTGCAGCGCACCAGCATGGCACATGTATACATATGTAACTAACCTGCACAATGTGCACATGTACCCTAAAACTTAAAGTATAATAAAAAAAAGAGATAAATAAAATGTATCAAAATAAGAACAGAAGAAGTCAAACTATGTATTTGCAGATGATATAATTCTATAGCTAGAAAATCCTATAGCCTCTGCCCAAAAGCTCCTAGATCTGATAACTTCAGCAAAGTTTTAGGATACAAAATCAATGTACAAAAATCAGTAGCATTTCTATACACCAAAAACATCCAAGCTGAGAGCCAAATCAAGAATGCAATCCCATTCATAATAGCCACAAAACGATAAAATAGAAATACAGCTAATCAGAGAGGTAAAAATATCTCTACAATGAGAATTACAAAACACTGCTGGCCGGGCGCGGTGGCTTACGCCTGTAATCCCAGCACTTTGGGAGGCCGAGGCGGGCGGATCACGAGGTCAGGAGACCGAGACCATCATGGCTAGCACAGTGAAACCCCGTCTCTACAAAAACTACAAAAAATTAGCCGGGCGAGGTGGCGGGCGCCTGTAGTCCCAACTACTCGGGAGGCTGAGGCAGGAGAATGGCGTGAACCCCCGGGGGGCGGAGCCTGCAGTGAGCCGAGATTGCGCCGCTGCACTCCAGCCTGGACGAACTGCACTCCAGCCTGGACGAACTGCACTCCAGCCTGGGCGACAGCGAGACTCCGTCTCAAAACAAAACAAAACAAAACAAAACAAAACAAAAAAACACAACACTGGTTACAGAAATCAGAGATAACACAAACAAATGGAAAAAAGTACTTCGTGCCGATGGATAGGAAGAATCAATATTGTTAAAATGTCCATACTGCCCAAAGATATTTACAGACTCAATTCTATTTTTATCAAATTACCAACAACATTCTTCACAGAATTCCAAAAAAACTATTTCAAAATTCATATGGAACCAAAAAAGAACCTGAACAGCCAAGGCAATCCTAAGAAAAAAGAACAAAGCTGGAGGCATTATGTTACCGAACTTCAAACTGTACTACAAGTCTACAGTAACCAAAACAACATCGTAGTGGTACAAAAATAGACACATAGACCAATGGAAACAAACAGAGAGCCCCAAAATAATGTTACACAACTATAACCAGCTGATCTTCGACAAAGCCAACAAAAACAAACAACAGGGAAGGAATGCCCTATTCAATAAAAGATGCTGGAATAAATGGGTAGCCACAGGCAGAAGATTTAAACTGGACTCCTTTCTTAAACCATATACCAAAATTAATTCAAGATGGGTTAAAGACTTAAAATGTAAAACCTAAAAATTTAAAAATCAAAGAAAATAACCTAGGGAATACTATTCTGGACATAGGCAGTGGCAAAGATTTCATGACAAAGATGCCAGAAGCAATTGCAACAAAAACAAAATTGACAAGCGGGTCTAATTTAAAGAAAGAGCTTCTGCACAGCAAAAGAAGCTATCAACAGAATAAACAGACAGCCTATAGGATGAGAGAAAATATTTGCAAACTATGCATCTAACAAAGGTGTAATATCCAGAATCTATAAGGAACTCTAAAAAATTAAGCAAAAAAGAAAAAAAACATTTAAAAAAATGGGCAAAGAACATTTACAGCCACTTCTCAAAAGAAGATATATACGTGGCCAACAAGCAAATGAAAAAATGCTCCACATCACTAATCATTAGATAAATGCGGATCAAAACCACAATGAGATACCATCTCATACCAGTCAGAATGGCTATTAGTAAAAGTCAAATAATATTAAATGCTGTTGAGGTTGCAGAGGAAAAACACACATACACTGCTTCTTGGAATGTAAATTAGTTCAGTCATTGTGAAAAGCAGTGTGGTAATTTCCCAAAGAACTTAAAACAGAATTACTATTCTCCCCAGCAATTACATTATTGTGTATATACCCAAAGGAATATAAATCATTCTGCCAAAGACATATGCACGTCTATGTTCATCACAGCACTGTTCACAATGGCAAAGACATGGAATCAGCCTAAATGTTCATCTATGATAGACTGGATAAAGAAAGTGTGGTAATATATACACTATGGAATATTACACAGGCATAAAAGAGAATGAAATAATGTTCTTTGCAGCAACAAGATGCAGCTGAAGGCCATTATCCTAAGCAACTAAGGCAGGAAATAAAAACCAAACACCACGTGTTCTCATTCATAAATGGGAGCTAAACATTGAGAACACATGGACACAAAGAAGGGACCAACAGACACCAGGGTCTATTTCAGGGTGATGTGAGAGAAGGGAAAGGATAGAAAAACTACCTTTTGGGTACTGTTCTTATTACCTGAATGATGAAATAATTTGTACACCAAACTTTGTGACACACAATTTACCTATATAACAAACCTGTACATGTAACCCTGACTCTAAAATAAAAGTTAAAAAAAAAAATCTTGCCTGGGTTGAGTGGTGCGTGTCAGTAATCCAAGCACTTTGGGAGGCCAACGTGGGTTGATTGCTCAAGCCCAGGAGTGTGAGACAAGTCTGGGCAACACAGTAAAATCCCATTTATAAAACAAACAAACAAACAAAAAAAGCACATGGTGGCACGCACCTATTGCCCCAGCTACTTGGGGAACTGAAGTGAGGGGAACACTTGAGCCTATGAGGTCAAGACTGAAGTAAGCCGTGATCTTGCCACTGCACTCCAAACTGGACAACAGAGCAAGACCGTGTCTCAACAACAACAACAAAAACAAAAATCTTGAAAGACTCAGTAATTTCAATTATGTAAATTGAATGGAAATTCAGCAAGATTTGTTGTCCACTCTGTTCACTCCTGAAAATCAGCCTCATTACACTTTCAACCATTCTTAGCTTGATTGTGAAGAGGTAAAAAAGTCCTGGATCCAATAAGAAGACTGTTTACAAAACACTTAAACTCAGTTCAAATAAATGTGCACATGTATTACATAACAATGAAATATGAGATCACAGATTTTCAGATAGGAGAAAACATAAGATTTCATCTTCAGAAATGTGTTTTAAACTATGTCAACAAACTGCTCAGAAGAAATGGATGCGTTTGACACTAATTCATGCTAACCCAACCAAGGTTCTCTCTATGCATTTCCTTCATACTCAATATGATGAGAAGAAGTTACCCCTTGACAGGGTCATATTCATTACACATTTAACTGAATTAATAAAGAGACCACATTGTTCAGTCTTGTTCTGTAGTCGCATCCAAGAAGACAGATATAGTAAAAAAAAAAAAAAAAAAAAAGAAATGCCATCCTTTAATTAAAATATTCCCAAAATTCTGACTAGGCTCTAAAGGCACAGCCCAGAACAATCCCTTTTCTGTGATAGCCACTCATGCTTCAAATTATGTCAGTTTAAGAGACTACTTATTACTTTCTAAAAAGTAAAAATATATAGAGTTTAGTCATTATTTTCTTCCCTGAATATCATAACATTTTCTTGAGGTAGGTTTATTTCTTTTCACCAAATAATTCACTTTGGAATAAATAGAGTTGCCTCTTATTATAGACAGAATTTGGAGATGGTCTCAAATATTTTCAGGTCTCTATACCACTTTTGTCCAATTATTCAATGAAAGAGTAGTCTGGGAACTGCTGTGAAGCAATTTTGAAGACGTAAATTAAATTCCCAAATTGATATACCTAACAGTAGAGAGATTATCTGGGTGAGCCTGACCTAATCAAACAATCTCTTTAAATCTGGGCCAGAGACAGAAGAAAGGAGAAAATTGACGCAACCTTGCCGGCTTAAAGATGGAGGGGGCCTTGTGGCACATAATGCAGTTGGCCTTTAGAACCCGTGAGTGGTCCTTAGGTAACAGTCAGAAAGGAAAAGGAGACCTCAGTCCTACAAAGGCAAGCAACTGAATTCAATGCGGAGGTGGATTTTCTAAAGAACCTCCAGATGAGAAATCTGATGTCAGATGATGCCAACCTCTTGGTGTCAGTTTTTGATACCCTAAGGAGACGTCCCAACTGTGTGCTGCTTGGCTTCTGATCTACAGATACTGCAAGGTAATATTTTCCTCTTTTAAGCTGCTAAAATGTTGGTAATTTATTACATAGCAATAGAAAAATAATATACCTCTGCACAATTTTCATCTATGAGCTATTCCCAATCTTCATATAGACAAAATATTTTCAAGCGATATCTATATTATAAATATAGAAGAATGCGTAACAGTTTTAACATTTCAAAAAAATTCCTTGTAGATATACTATTTAACATTATTTTAGTATGGTCATACCATAATCAGAATTATCTTAATCTTTTCTTCATATCCATGTTTTAATGCTATTAGAAATATTATATCACCTTTAGTCATTGTGCTTTGTAACTACTGAAAAAAGTTATAAAATTCTAAGCTTTGACAATTTTTCAAAGCTTATAATAAAATAATATAATAAAAGTCACCTAACTTGCTGCTAAGAGAGATTGTTATGATCCTCCTTGATAACTTTCCAGTAACACTCTCTAAGTAACTATTTTTGGTTAAAAATTGAAACATATTTACATTCTTTAATTCCTATACTGTGTAATTTCTAAACAGACAAAATATTTAGTCAGCTAAACTTAACTATATGTTATGAAATGTTTACTTCTTGTGTTTACCTAATATAGCTGTCAACAATTCTGTATGTGTTGTAGATTGAACTTATATTTGGTTATATTCAGTTTTATGACTACAGATGCTTGACTTTTGCCAAGAATAATCTTAAATATGGTGACAGTAAAAATTATATTTGTTTGAAATGCATTGTTTCATCATGGATGCCACATAGAAACTGACAGACTTTTACTATGGACACCATATAAAAGATGGTGCTTCCAAGTACCAGCTAAAAATGCCCCAAGACAAGTTTTGTTTGATGTTGTCGTGCACTATGTATCTGTGTATTGTTTGCTTTAAAAATCTCTATTTGAAAATTCCATTTTCAAGTTGATGGTGTAAAGTAATGATGCAAGAGTAGTTAATAGTTCTAATTATGACACACATTTTGACAGGAAGTCATTATTATTTTAGACTCAGTAGATGGACCTTTAATATACTTCCAAAAGAATGAAACCTTCCTAGGACCAGAACATAGGCTGACATCAAACTTTTCAATATTTTACAAATTATAAAATTTTAAAGATAATTCTATACAGTTTTCAAGATGTGTGATACTCAGTTACTTGCCTCAGAAAATTGGGATTACATTTATAGTTTCCTATCATTTTCATCAACTGAGGATGTTATTTGGGTAACAATAAATAGAAAAGAATGAGTAGCCTAGTAGTATTCTTTATAACTAAAACAGATAGGTAAAAACATCCTAAACTGAATAGCAGACAATCTGAACACAAAAAAGATTATAAATATGAATGTAAATCACAGGTATATCCAGCATGTCTGCATTTAGTATACTGGTATGTTAATCTATATTGAATGTAGTTTTTAAATCTTAGCTCTACCCTACTATAATAATTGTAGGGGATCCATTGAGAGGTCAATTAAAGTTGAATAACTAAATTCCAGCCCAACATTTTTAAGGAATCACGGTTATAGTTTACTACATATTAAAAGCAGTTCCTTAAACAATTTAGAGTAATGGCTTAGGGTTCTGTTGGTAGCTATTAGTATTACTGACTGTGAAGCAGCTGCTTGATTTAATTGGCAAACACTTGTTCTTTTCATTTACAAGCAAAATTAGCACCTACACTCTTGCCAATAAATTAGACATTGCACCTACCTTGAAATGAGCACTACTAACTACTGATTGTAATTACAGCAGATAACCTATCACACTTGCCTAAGGCCTCTGGTTCTGGTGCTTATACTCACCTTAGAAAATATAAGGAACTGATGTATCCTTGATATAACAAGTTCCTTTGTAAATGTAACACTTTTTTTCTGGTAAACATTTGATGCAGTAATGCACCAAATAATATTTTTATTGTACTGTATATTTTGAATGGAGTTCCACTGCTTGTAAGACAATGGATACAAAATATAATTTAGTAGAAGTTTGCTATGTAATTGGTTTTGCAAATATATAAGGCATAATTTTATTCATATGGCTGCCTAAAATCTGTAGGAGTACAACTTGTTCATACTCTTTTAGAAAACAGTAATAGCCTTATGGTGTTTAGGAGCAAAGTGGTACATTTGAGATTTTGAAATTTTATGCTAGCAGTCTTCCTCAAAACACAGACACCCACATACACACACAAACACACACACACAATTGGCAAAAAGAAAATTTAATCTGAGTCACATCTATGAAAATATGGCCATATTTAGAATAAATTTACTAAATGGTGAATTACTAGTCCACTAGCTAGTCTGGGACAATATAATCTAGATATCTATATATAGCAATCCCTGGAGTGATTCTTTACATGTCTTTAAAGACATTAGGAAAATGAAGATGACAAAACATTTAAGTGAGAATGTCTGAACACAAATTTTTAAATTCACATAGAAATTTACCTTTTTTATTTGCTTGTTTGTTTTTTTGTTTGTTTTTGAGACAGAGTTTCCCTCTTGTTGCCCAGGCTGGAGTGCAGTGGAGCGATCTCGGCTAACCTCAACCTCTGCCTCCCGGGTTCAAATGATTCTCCTCCCTCAGCCTACTGAGCTGGAATTACAGCCATGTGCCAGCACGCCTGGCTAATTTTGTATTTTTAGTAGAGATGGGGTTTCTTCATGTTGGTCAGGCTGGTCTCGAATTCCCGACCTCAGGTGATCCACCTGCCTCGGCCTCCCAAAGTGCTGGGATTATAGGCGTGAACCACTGCCCCCCAGCCAAAATTTATCTATTTTTAAAACTAATATAAATAAATAATTACAATATTTAATTTGTGACTCTATACAGTGTTTAATCATCAATTTTTAATTCTCTCTCACCAAACACGGCCTACTCAGCACCTGGAGTTGACCTCATCTGGACCACTAAGTGGGAGAGAGTTGGGCTTCATTGAGTCGGTACAGTGAGGTATTGAGAAGGGTTTGGGATTTGTTGCTACTCTGGTGCCCTGCAGTGACTTGCAGTGTTACTGTTATAGGTCCTGGGCCTAGGACTGTTGTTCTCTGTCACTTCTCCAATGGCAGGGTTATAGTTGTTTATTTTTTATTTTTTTCTCTTACTCTATGAGAGAAGCTTCCAGGTAAGGCTGAGGTCATGTCCCTTTCTCAGCTGCAGGCATTGTTCCTTCACACCTGCACCACTGACAGAGGCTTTCTGGATATTTCTTCTTCCCTGTGTCTTTTCCATGAATACTAGGTGGACATTCATGAGAAAATGATCTGCAAAGAGCTCTTTTGTCTGGCGCTCTCAGGGGTCTCATACTGTCCCACTGTCCCACACCTGGCCTTTAGCAATTTGTTTAAAGTGTATCTGATTTCTTCTTGCCTACTCTTAGAGTGGCCTTACACTATGTTCTACCACGTTATGTCCCCGGAGTCACTGCTTGTGCCTGGCCATTGGTTGCTCTGGGACGTCAGCTTTCTGTCAGCTTTAAGAATAGTACTGATTTTGCATGTCATTCTGCTTTTTTTTTTTTTGTTTCAAGGTGCAGAGTAATATTCTTTTCAATTTTCTACATCCTAGAGAGAAATGACCTATGCATTTTAATCATTGAAACCTTTATTTTAAAAGACTTTTGAGTTAAATTAGAAGAATTTCATCTGGAATTTCAATTAATGTGACACTTGGTTCGATTGTAAATCAATAAAGTACTAAATAGCCTCATGACAATTTTAATATTTATAACATATTGCAAAGATAACTTGGACACTGGCTTTATATACAATACTTTTAAAAGCACATAAGAATTGTGTGATTTTATTAACCTTTCTATATATGTTGTTTTGCGTGGAAATAGAACACAAATCAGAATTACAATCACCAGGTTGCACTCTTCTGAAGGAATAAAGGAGAAAATAATCCTATTAATATTGTAATATTTACTTTATAATTTTTTAAAAACTTTCTGTCATTCGAAATGGTATGACTTAGTTGCAATATTGTATTTCTCTGATGTGTTAAATACTAAGTCTTTACAATGGAAACAAACATATGGGTATATATACACAATGAAATATTATTCAGTCACAAAAAAATGAATGAAATTCTATCATTTGCAGTAACATGGATGAGTCTGGAGGATATGTTAAGTGCAATAAACCGGGACAGAAAGGCAAATATTGCATGTTCTCACTCATATGTGGGACTAAAATACAGTTAATTTCATGGAGATATAGAATACAATGGTGGTTACCAAAGGTGAGGAAAGGTAGTGGGGGAGGTAGGAATAAAGACAGGTTGGTAAATTGACACAAAAATACAGTTAGATAGAAGGAATGTGTTCTAGTGTTCAATAGCACTATAGGGTGACTATAGTTACCAATAATTATTGTATATTTCAAAATAGCTAGAAGAGAAAATTTAGAATGTTCCCAACACAAAGAAATGAAAAATATTTGAGATGATGGATATCCTTATTACCCTGACTTCACCATTCTACATTGTATTCATATAACAAATGACCACTTGCACCTCATAAATACATACAATTACTATGTATTAACAACAAAAAAAGATTCCACCACAATACTTCTGATGCAATATTTTGACTAAACTTATTGCACTTATGAACCATTTTATTTGTTGAATCAACTAAAGACCATCTATTATGTGGTACTATAACGCTTAATCATTCTTATTCCTCAAAGTTCCTCTCTATATGGTCAAAAAACATTTTTTATTTGCAATCTAAATACATCCTTATCATTATTATTTTGTATCTTTGTTAAATGTTACACATTCTCCCCCACCTATCATTATTCCTTTTCTCTTTATTTTTCCAAATATTTTCTTTCAGGATTTATCTAAATTATCATATGTTTCATAAATATTTCCCCAATTATTTTATTTCACATTATTCTCTCTTGGCTAAATTATCACTTTATTATTCTGTAGTTCATAGTTTCTAATTAGTAATCTAATTTGGTATATTTCTCTCCAATTGTTGATGTGTTAATCATGTCTCCTCATGCAGAATATGAGGCTCCTGGAAAGCAGGTAATGCATATATTTTAATTAAAGCATATAATTCCCTAAGAGTATAAGTACTAACATAAACATTCAGCACCATATAATAGCCAGTAATTAATTGATCATTTGTTAATTATATAGTAAAAATTACATAGATATTTTTATTGTGGCATAAAATAAAATTTGTGTCTGCACACATAAAAAATTTAGTCACCATAAGGATCAAAGTCAATTCAGTGAGAAAAAATATATATATATAATTGGACCAGTGTACTTATAAGATGTATAGTCTGAATCATTGTAATTTTATTATTTGTAATCACCGATTTAGTAACATTTATATAATTCTTATTACTGAATAAGAAAATATCAGATCTGTCTTTACCTAAATGAACAAAAGTTCACAGATTAAAGGCCCTGGTTACCGAAGAAATTTTATAACAAAGCATTGAAATAATCTAAGTAAACTCAAATTATTCTAAGAAGTGAGTCATCGTTTTCTGAACTGATAAAAGGAATTACATTTAAGATCAACTTTGATGTAAGCTTGACTACCAAATCATAAATTAATATCTCCCAAATTTGGCCGGGCGTAGTGGCTCAGGCCTGTAATCCCAGCACTTTGGGAGGCCGAGGCAGGCAGATCACTAGGTCAGGAGATGGAGACCATTCTGGCTAACATGGTGAAACCCCGTCTCAACTAAAAATAGAAAAAATTATCCAGGGGTGGTGGTGGTCGCCTGTAGTCCCAGCTACTCGGGAGGCTGAGGCAGGAGAATGGCATGAACCCAGGAGGCGGAGCTTGCAGTGAGCCCAGATGGCGCCACTACACTCCAGCCTGGGCGACAGCGCAAGACTCCGTCTCAAACACACACACACACACACACACACACACACACACACACAAACAATCTCCCAAATTTTACTTCATATTTTATTAAACTCATTCTTTTTTTTATTTTTTATTTTTATTTATTTATTTATTTATTATTATACTTTAAGTTTTAGGGTATATGTGCACAATATGCAGGTTAGTTACATATGTATACATGTGCCATGCTGGTGTGCTGCACCCACTAACTCGACATCTAGCATTAGGTATATCTCCCAATGCTATCCCTCCCCCCTCCCCCCACCCCACAACAGTCCCCAGAGTGTAATGTTCCCCTTCCTGTGTCCATGTGTTCTCATTGTTCAATTCCCACCTATGAGTGAGAATATGCGGTGTTTGGTTTTTTGTTCTTGCGATAGCTTACTGAGAATGATGATTTCCAATTTCATCCATGTCCCTACAAAGGACATGAACTCATCATTTTTTATGGCTGCATAGTATTCCATGGTGTATATGTGCCACATTTTCTTAATCCAGTCTAACATTGTTGGACATTTGGGTTGGTTCCAAGTCTTTGCTATTGTGAATAATGCCGCAATAAACATACGTGTGCATTTGTCTTTATAGCAGCATGATTTATAGTCCTTTGGGTATATACCCAGTAATGGGATGGCTGGGTCAAATGGTATTTCTAGTTCTAGATCCCTGAGGAATCGTCACACTGACTTCCACAATGGTTGAACTAGTTTACAGTCCCACCAACAGTGTAAAAGTGTTCCTATTTCTCCACATCCTCTCCAGCAGCTGTTGTTTCCTGACTTTTTAATGATTGCCATTCTAACTGGTGTGAGATGGTATCTCATTGTGGTTTTGATTTGCATTTCTCTGATGGCCAGTGATGGTGAGCATTTTTTCACGTGTTTTTTGGCTGCATAAATGTCTTCTTTTGAGAAATGTCTGTTCATGTCCTTTGCCCACTTTTTGATGGGGTTGTTTGTTTTTTTCTTGTAAATTTGTTTGAGTTCATTGTAGATTCTGGATATTAGCCCTTTGTCAGATGAGTAGGTTGCGAAAATTTTCTCCCATTTTGTAGGTTGCCTGTTCACTCTGATGGTAATTTCTTTTGCTGTGCAGAAGCTCTTTAGTTTAATTAGATCCCATTTGTCAATTTTGGCTTTTGTTGCCATTGCTTTTGGTGTTTTAGACATGAAGTCCTTGCCCATGCCTATGTCCTGAATGGTAATACCTAGGTTTTCTTCTAGGGTTTTTATGGTTTCAGGTCTAACGTTTAAGTCTTTAATCCATCTTGAATTGATTTTTGTATAAAGTGTAAGGAAGGCATCCAGTTTCAGCTTTCTACATATGGTTAGCCAGTTTTCCCAGCACCATGTATTAAATAGGGAATCCTTTCCCCATTGCTTGTTTTTCTCAGGTTTGTCAAAGATCAGATAGTTGTAGATATGCAGCATTATTTCTGAGGTCTCTGTTCTGTTCCATTGATCTATATCTCTGTTTTGGTACCAGTACCATGCTAAACTCATTCTTTTATAGATATTTTAATATCTACATCATTAATTCTACTTGTTTCTTTTACATTTGCAGTAAACTTTTTATTTTTGTATACTTTTACATTTATAGAAAAGTTTGAGAATGGTGTGAACCAGAGAGGCGGAGCTTGCAGTGAGCCGAGATCGCTCCACTGCACTCTAGCCTGGCAACAGAGCAAGTCTCCTTCTCAAAAAAAAAAAAAAAAAAAAGTGAAAATACTAAAGAATCCCCATACAACAAAAAGCCTGTTTATCTTAACATCTTACACAATATCAGGCATGATTTTTTTTAACTCATCCATGTTTCTGTTTATATACAGGATAACAAATTCAGGAACAATGGGAAAGTAATATATAAAACCTTAATAGGAAATACAATAGAGATTACAAAACACTACCATTTGATTTTTTATGCAAATACTTCAATAGTACAATATTTTTACTCACTTGATAAATAAAGCACATGACTCAAAATGCTAAATAATTCTGTTAGTCTAAATTTTTAAAGAATAAAATGTTGGTGAAAAACCAAAATTGTTTAGTAAGGTATGTATGATCTTGTTTATTATCTATCATAGATATCAAGAAGATCATAGTTAATAACAATTTAAGCTTTAGAGAATACTGTTTTAGGCCCAATATTGATATATTAAATGAAGGTATCAGAGAATCTTTTATTTATGGTATCAGGTTATAAAGATCTATTCAAAACCATTTTTGTCAAAGTTTAAACACTGGAACAAAAGTCAAATTGTTTCTAAATGAGACACAAAATGATTCTTGCTAATAGTACAAATTTTGTCCCATGGGTAATACTATTGTCTTTTTCTTTTTAAAAAAAATTATTTAAATTTTTATTTCAGATTCAGGGAACACATGGGCAGGTTTGTTAGCTGGGTATACTGTGTGATGTTGAGGTTTGGGGCACGGATGATCCTGTCACCCAGGTAGTGAGCAGAGTCCCCAGTAGGTAGTTTTTCAGCTCTTGCTCCTGCTCCCCTCCCTACCTCCCCAGTGTCTATTATTCCCATGGGTCCTCAGGTATTACTATTTTCAAGTTTTTTTCTTTACATGAAACTACTGAAAGCAAAAGTATGTCATGCTTATAGGTTACTCTGTACATTTATCATTCTATTAATAAACATCTTAAGTAAGTAAGTAGTATATTAAGGCCATAAACCAAGTCATTATCTCCTATCAAAGGACTACTGTTATTCAATCATCTAGAAAATTCATTTTAGGAAGGACGCAGTGGCTCACATCTGTAATCTCAGCACTTTGGGAGGCCAAGGTGGGTGGATCATGAAGTCAAGAGTTCGAGACCATCCTGATCAGCATGGTGTAACCCCGCCTCTACTAAAAATACAAAAATTAGCTGGGCGTGGTTGTGTGTGCCTGTAATCCCAGCTACTCAGGAGGCTGAGGCAGGAGAATTGCTTGAACCCGGAGGCAGAGGTTGTAGTGAGCTGAAATTGCGCCACTGCACTCCAGCCTGGGCAACAGAGAGAAACTCTTGTCTTAAAAAAAAAGAAAATTCATTTTAATGGGTTATGTTACAGGGTTGAGGTCAGCCTACAGACACAAAATAGGTTAACTGAATTTTTTTTTTCGTATCAGGTTTTAATTTTTTCATTGGAACAGGATTTGGGGGTGGGGATACTAAATGTGGCAGGGTTCAACAAATTTACATTTTATCAAAATAAGATTCTTAAAGAATACAATGATAGCATATGCTTTAACTTTTATAGCACAAACCCTCATATTAATTGATGGTCACAGAAAAATACTGTAATGCTCTAAACAAAAGTTTTAAAATACATCAATGACACAAGTTTCAAATAAAATGCAGAGATCAAAATACTTAACTGTCCTTTCATCAAGCTTTTACAAACACAGTCTTCGCTGTCTGAGCAAATCAATTTTAGTTTCTTCATGGTCCTCCATCTGTCTTTTAACATGACATTTGTCCAGCTGTTGAATTTATAATGCAATAGTATTTTAGACCAGTTTCCCTCTCCGTATTTCCTCACGCCAGATCTCAGATTCTTGTCTTCTTCCCAAAGCCATGCCTGTCTTTTTCTAGCTCGATATTTTTCAGGAGTTACCGGTTGACTCTTTGAAACAGGTATTCTGCTTTCAGTGGCTCTTCTGCTTTCTTTTTTCTTTTTTGTACTTTGAAGAGTTCCTACTCTTCTTTATTTCTTATTAAGGTCTTGTTGCTGGGTTCCATGTTGCAACTTAGATAAGAAAAGATTCTTGTGAGACTTTTTCTTGTATCCAAATTAGCTTCAGTTTCCATTTCAACATCATTACCATTAGGTTTATCTTGAGAAGTTACTGTGCTTGTTCTTTTACTTTCTACTACTTTTGCTGCTGCCTTCATTAGAAAGGTTGATGATTTTTCACTTAACACATAATTCACATAACTCTTAATTTTCTCCCTCATGTGGTTGTACCTGAAGTGTTGAAAAAAGGAATGAAATGTATCTTCCTGAGAGATTATCATAAGCAATTTGTTTTTGAGAGGCATATGAAAATTTGGATCACCAAATATTCTTTCAAAGACTTCTTCTGCTTCTTTAAAGTTGCCATTTTCCATACAAACAGCTGTAGCCTGAATTTTAATTAAATTCTGTATTTCTTCGTGAAGTTGGTCATGTTCCTTTTCAATTGAACCCCAAATCATCAGGGCTGATTCCAAGGGTGTAATTCGTTCATCATTTTCGAACTGTGCCTCAAGGGTTTTTCCTGCTGCAATTCTTGTCAAAAACTGACATATGTATATTGTTCTCAACTGGTAAGCTGTTAGACTGGATAGCCCATGAATAATAGCCTCTGCGCTGTTGCGGGTCCGGCGGAAGTCCTCGGAGCGGCCCTCGCGGAAAGCTCCGCAAAGAGAGAGGCAGAGGAAATCGAACATCCAGCCGGCAGCCCATGGCCTTGCCCTCGGCCACCAGGCCGGGGTCCTCCTCCTCCTCCTTGGGCGCCCCCACCTGCACCTGGCACTCGAGCAGTTCCTGGCACTCGAACTGCTCCTCGTCGTTGCTCTTTGTTTCTGCCATCTGCTCCTCGGTAGGGTCGGCATCCCTACCAGCCGCACAACCCCGCGGGCTCGGGGCCCAATATCAGGCATGATTTTTTAAACTACACCTATTTTTCCACAAAGTTCGATTCTCTAAGCTTTTGTAAGTTTTTTTGTAAAAAAAAAAAAAAAACAAAAAACTGGTTGAGTTTTTGAGCCACGAATTTCTCTTTATATCAGTATAGATTTTGCACTATATTATGCAAAGTTAAGGCTGTGGCAAATTAAATAGATTAATATGCATTTAATAATGATAAGTACATTTATCCAAATGTCTAAATCATATCGTTAATAGGAAAATATCTTGGCCTTAACATTTCTTTCCTTATGTTATACCTTAGTGTGTATTTTCAGGAGTTCAACTGTAATCACTTTATAAAAATTGTAAAGGTTTAGCATTTTTGTAAACTGTGACTTTGTAAACTCTGACTGTGGACAGAGAGAAAGAGAGAGAGTTAGAAAGAGGTAAAGTTAAAGATGGAAGAAGGACTAAAGAGATACAACGTTGTTGGCTTTAAAAATGGAAAAAGGAAGCCATGAGCCAAAGAATGCAGAATAGAGGCTGGAAGAAAAAATTGCTTCTCCCATACAGCCTCCAGAAAAAATTAAAATAAATAAAAAATAAAAAACAGTCCGGCTAACACCTCAATTTTAGCCCAAAGAGGCCATATCATACTGTTGATCTGCAAACAAGATAACAAATTGGTACCATTTTAAGCTTTTAAATTTATAGTACTTTAAGGCAGTAGGAGAAAACTAGTATTCTCTCATTTAATAGATTGCCCACAGCCATCTAAAGGTGAATTGAACAAGAAAGTGAAATAAAGTCCAAGAAACGTTCAATTTGATTGCTATTGTTAGCATGACTTAGCACCAGAGTGCTGGCTGGATTCATTTTATGGATTCCTAAGAAAATAACTCTTTCATTGCAGGAGATCTCTCACTCACACATTCATATAAATAATTGTTTTTGCTTGCTTAGTCTTTGTGGCTTTCCACAGGCATCAGTAGTGCCCTTCCATGTTTTTTTCTCCTAAGTTTTTTTTTTTTTTTTATTGCCCTTGGCAACCTTGAAGCTGATCTGAGGGAATTATAGGCTATCATTTAATCACGTAGCATACTGCTACTTAGTGGGAGCCATCCTCTCTACTCTTGCCTATGAAAGAGTATAGAGTATGAAACGAACTGTAACTTGAAAGTTTGCTCAAAAATCATCATTTGATCGCCTACTTAATCATTTTGTATCTTCTATGAATCTTTCTTTCACAATCCTCCATAATGGTCAAGTTATATTCTAAAGAAAATTCTTATCTATTGTTTTGAGGTCAGGCCTGAGATTTAAATAGTATCAGTTACAAATGATTTTGGTTACAAATAACAGAGTACTCACCATTGCAGATATTAAAGGCATTTAATAGTTTTACATAATTAGAGATCACAAGATAGGAAATGTCATATTTGGCACAGTGCCAAAGAAGTTATTAAGAACCTTGCTTTTTAAATTATGTTATTAAATTTTACTTTATATGTTTCTTTTTTAATAATTCAGAATGTTTGTCTGTAGGATAAAATAAGCTGGAAGAATAGGTGAAAAGGCTGAAAAACTGGAATATTCTTGTTCATCTGCCTTTGTTACCAGGAAACTAAATACATTCCAGAAATATTGTCGTGTGAAACTTCCTTTTATAACTATTGACAAAAACTATGCTATATGACCACTGTATCAGAAAATGAAGGAATATTTTAAACTTCTAATTGAGACTGAGCTAAAGTTCACACCTCGATAATGATTAATTTTATAATAAATACTGACTGAGAATACAAAGGAAGAATAATTTTGGTGAAAGATTAATCCTCATCATTCAATTATGTAAAAGGTATAAAATATAATGTCTCAAAATATGTGATTATGGATTAGATAAGACACAAAAAATTGTTCCTAAAAAATCAGAAAAATAAATTACATGTTCCTATTTTCAAGATACTATAAAAAACTAAAACCAAAATTCATTATTCATAATTTTTTATATATTCAAAACATTGTCATTATTATTTTGTGATAACTAGACTACCAGTTATACCATCAAGGACACACAGAAAATGTCTTCTCTTAAAGTTAGCTTTTATCAAGTTGTCTATAGCTCTAAGACATACATTAGTTTAGGAGAAGATGATTTATATAGATTCCAATAATAGTCTCACTGTCCTAGATACCAATCAATAGAGACTCTTTCTATTATTATTCACTTGACTTTGTCATTTGTGCTGACATACAGCCAAAGATCAGTGTGCAAGTTATTAAAGAGAGTTTCGGCATATGAAAATAATGCTTTTAAAAAGAACTTTCAATGTTAGTAAAGCATATTTTAAGGACCTAATAGAATCAACTTACAATGTTTTAAATAACAGCAAGATATCTATCTTCTTTACCTCATTTAGATATTCGCCTATAAAGAATCTTCCTCATTAACTCTTTGCCAGTTTGAACTGGTTACCTACTAAATACAATTGAGTGCAAATTTTAAATTAGTAGTAGTAGTGAAAATATGCCTACTATATATATAACACTGAAACTATAAGATTATGTTACTGAAATTGTTTCAAAATTATTTTTAAGCACAGTAAGTTGTATTGTGGGGGAAAAGGAAGGAGACAAACTGAAAAGGTTGAGAATTACACTCCTAACTAATAAAATATATTGTCTTGTACTTCCATACTTCTGTCCACACTCTTAGTCATCTTTATTCAGGTAAGTCTCTTAAATGAGGTCTTCATACTTTAATAAATCAACAAAATCAATTTTGAAGATAAAATAAATTAAATATTGTTAAAAATTGTTCAATTTGCTAAGCTTATTTTACATAGAGGTAAAATAGGCAAAAGCATAGAAAAAAATTATGTGTGTGTGTGTGTGTTTGTGTATTGGTTATTGCCATTATTTTATTTTATTTTGAGACTGGTTCTTGTTCTGTCGCCCAAGGTTGGAGTGCAGTGACATGATCATGGCTCACTGCAGCCTCAGCCTCCCAGGCTCAAAAGATCTTCCTGCCTCAGCCTCACAAGTAGCTGAGGCCACAGGTGCATGCCATCACACCTGGGTAATATTTTTTAAGTTATAGAGATGAGGTCTCCCTGTATTGCCCGGGCTGGTTTTGAACTCCTGGATTCAAGCAATTCTCCTGCCTCAGCCTTCCAAAATGCTGGATTATAAGCATGAGCCCTGGTGCCCAGCCTTTGTCATTCTTTTATAAAATAATTTTAAATGTAATGTATTTCAACTGAGGTACAAAATATTCCAGGCTCCTTCATGTAACTCCAGGCTTACTTATGAGAAAGATGTCTAATAATGGCTTTAAATTAAGAAGATTCTAATCATTGAATTAATAAGTCCATGTATATTATAAACATTTTATTAACATAAAAGAATACAAAAATTATTTTTGTAACATGAAATACAGTAGAGATAAAACAAACCACGAACAGAAAAATACCCAATATTTTCCACATGGAGGCATAAGATATTGGAAAACTATTTTACAGGGTAACTTCCACAAGTCTTGAGAAATACAAATCTCATAATTTAAAAAAATGTATATACACCCTGTGGCTTTGGGATAGAGTCACTATAACTTTATGCCTTAGGCCAATAACAACTACAAAGGAAAGCATTGTATTCAAATCTAGTTAGCAAGTAGCTGAGCGTTTTTCTATAGTGTTTTCATCTTCATCTCATCACAGCTGAAAACTTGAAATGTTTTGACATCACAATTAGTATCAGGAAAGGAAATGGGTATGTTACTAAATCCACTACAAAGAAATGCACAAATAATTGAGAAATCCTCTGCCTCCATTTTTATAATATAGTACACCTGCTTTTTCAAGTATTGAGAAAATAAAAAATATAATAGATTATATATATTTATATAATGTAATATGTATATTATATATAATATATTCTACCACCGAGTTAATTTACATTTTATATTTCAGAATATTTAAAATATTTTATGTTTTAAAATATTTCATATTTTAAAATATGTTCTCTCTCTCTTATAGACACACATAATCTTTTTGTTCATAAATTGCTTAAAAATATTTTTGATATGTGTGCAGAAATTCTTGCTTGTTTCTGAAGATAGTAACTGTGACAGATCTAATTTTAAGTTAGTGAATAGATATCTTAAAGTGTTACTCAATGGTCCAAACAAGACTATTTTATTTCCCAGTATATTACTCACTTCCCACTCTGCCAAATGACTGTTTCACATATCTTCATTTCCTTCTAAACTTTCCAGTACACCTTAAATTTTCCTGATATTTATCTGATGCTTGTTCCTCATAATTGACGGAGAAAACATAATTATTCAATTATCATCTAATCATGTATCCACCACCAAATCAATCAGCGAACCAGTATCCATACTCAAAATGAATAAATCTCTTTTGTCTTTATCAAAGAGATGTCCCCACCTCAATCCCATAATAGTTTAAAATTTTTTCAATGGCTAGAATCAAATAGACACAATAAAAAATGGTAAAGGGGATATTACCACTGATCCCACAGAAATACAAACTACCGTCAGAGAATACTATAAACACCTCTACACAAAATAGAAAATCTAGAAGAAATGGATAAATTCATGGACACATACACCTTCCCAAGACTAAACCAGGAAGAAGTTGAATCTCTGAATAGACCAATAACAGGCTCTGAAATTGAGGCAATAATTAATAGCCTATCAACCAAAAAAAGTCCAGGACCAGACGGATTCACAGCCGAATTCTACCAGATATACAAAGAGGAGCTGGTACCATTCCTTCTGAAACTATTCCAATCAATAGAAAAAAGAGGGAATCCTCCCTAACTAATTTTATGAGGCCAGCATTATCATATTTGGTATCATTTTATGATACCAAATCCTGGCAGAGACACAACAAAAAAAGGGAATTTTAGACCAATATTCCTGATGAACATCGATACAAAAATCCTCAATAAAATACTGGCAAACTTAATCCAGCAGCACATCAAAAAGCTTCACCACCACGATCAAGTCAGCTTCATCCCTGGGATGCAAGGCTGGTTCAACATATGCAAATCAACAAATGTAATCCATCAAATAAAGAGAACCAGTGACCAAAACCACATGATTATTTCAATAGATGCAAAAAAGGCCTTTGATAAAATTCAACAGCCCTTCAGGCTAAAAACTCTCAATAAACTAGGTATTGATGGAAGGTATCTCAAAATAGTGAGAGCTATTTATGACAAAAGCCCACAGCCAATATCATACTGAATAGGCAAAAACTGGAAGCATTCCCTTTGACAACTGGCACAAGACAGGGATGCCCTCTCTCACCACTCCTATTTAATATACTGTTGGAAGTTCTGGCCAGGGCAATTAGGCAGGAGAAGGAAATAAAGGGTATTCAATCAGGAAAAGAGGAAGTCAAATTATCCCTGTTTGTAGATGACATGATTGTATATTTAGAAAATGCCATCGTCTCAGCCCAAAATCTCCTTCAGCTGATAAGCAACTTCAGCAAAGTCTCAGGATACAAAACCAACGTGCAAAAATCACAAGCATTCCTATACACCAATAATAGACAAACAGAGAGCCAAATCATGAGTGAACTCCCATTCACAATTGCTACAAAGAGAATAAAATATCTAGGAATCCAACTTACAAGGGATGTGAAGGACCTCTTCAAGGAGAACTACAAACCACTGCTCAATGAAATAAAAGAGGACACAAACAAATGGAAGAACATTCCATGCTCATGGATAGAAAGAATCAATATCATGAAAATAGCCATACTGCCCAAGGTAATTTATATATTCAATGCCATCCCCATCAAGCTACCAATAACTTTCTTCACAGAATTGGAAAAAACAACTTTGAAGTTCATATGGAATCAGAAAAGGGCCCACATTGCCAAGACAATCATAAGCAAAAAGAAGAAAGTTGGTGGCATCACTCTACCTGATTTCAAACTATGCTACAAGGCCACAGTAACCATATAGCATGGTACTGGTACCAAAACAGATATATAGACCAATGGAACAGAACAGATGCTGCAGAAATAACACCACACAACTACAACCATCAAAACATACACACAAAACAAGAAATGGGGAAAGGATTCCCTATTTAATAAATGGTGCTAGGAAAACTGGTTAGTCATATGTAGAAAGCTGAAACTGGATCCCTTCTATACACCTTATACAAAAATTAATTCAAGATGGATTAAAGACTTAAATGTTAGACCTAAAACCATGAAAACCCTGGAAGAAAACCTAGGCAATACCATTCAGGACATAGGCGTGGGCAAATACTTCATGACTAAAACACCGAAAGCAATGGCAACAAAAGCCAAAATAGACAAATGGGATCTAATTAAACTAAAGTGCTTCTGCATGGCAAAAGAAACCACTATCAGAGTGAACAGACAACCTACAGAATGGAAGAAAATTTTTGCAATCTACCCATCTAACAAAGGCTAATATCCAGAATCTACAAAGAACTTAAACAACTTTACAAGAAAAAAACGACTTCAAAAAGTGGGCAAAGGATATGAACAGAAACTTCTCAAAAAAAGACATTTTATGCAGCCAACAGATACATGAAAAATGCTCATCATCACTGATCATCAAATAAATGCAAATCAAAACCGCAATGTGGTACCATCTCATGCCAGTTAGAATGGCGATCATTAAAAAGTCAGGAAACAACAGATGCTGGAGAGGATGTGGAGAAATAGGAATGCTTTTACACTGTTGGAGGGAGTGTAAATTAGTTCAACCATAATGGAAGACAGTGTGGTGATTCATCAAGGATCTAGAACTAGAAGTACCATTTGACCCAGTGATCCCATTACTGGTTGTATACCAAAAGGATTATAAATCATGCTACTATAAAGACACATGCACACTTATGTTTATGGTGGCACTCTTCACCACAGCAAAGACTTGGAACCAACCCAAATGTCCATCAGTGATAGACTGGATTAAGAAAATGTGGCACATATACACCATGGATTACTATGCAGCCATAAGAAAGAATGAGTTCATGTCCTTTTTAGGGACATGGATGAAGCTGGAAACCATCATTCTCAGCAAACTAACAAAAGGACAGAAAATCAAACACTGAATGTTCTCGCTCATAAGTGGGAATTGAACAATGAGAACACATGGACACAGGGCAGGGAGCATCACACACTGGGGCCTGTCAGGGGGAGGGAGGAGTGGGGAGGGATAGCATTAGGAGAAATACCTAATGTAAATGACAAGTTGATGGGTGCAGCAAACCAACATGGCACATGTATACCTATGTAACAAGCCTGCACGTTGTGTACATGTACCCTAGAACTTAAAGTATATAAACACACACACACACACACACAATTTTTTTCAACGGCTTAAAATAACAAAGTTTATTCCTCACTCTTACTATAAGTCCATCAAAGAACTGCTGGTTCTTCTGTTTTCAAACCATAATTGTTCTTATAGAATCCAAGCTCAAAGAGTATCTAGTGTCACAAGAGAAAAATTCTTACTTTCCTTAAATTATACCATAGTATCATTGCCATATTTGTTTTGCTATTACGCTAAATTTTTTGAATGTCATATAACTTCCTGTCATATATCTTCATTTCCCCTTCTCTTCAATCCATTTTAATCAGGTTTCTCTTCCTATCATTCCAATAAAATGTTGCTTATCACAGTCAACAATACATTTCTTTTGAAATTTCAATAATTTATATTTTATCCTCACCTACTTGAACTCTTATAGGTTATGGAATGTTCCATGTAGCCTTGCAATGTCTCACCTCAGTTATGAGTCATGTTTTCTTTAACTCGTTTGCCTAAAGAACCCATGTGTCTGCAAACTCAGAGTCCCGCAACATTGGGATTTAATATCTCAGGGTCCACCACCAAAAAAGTAAAGATGGAAATGGTGAATAAATGCCCTAATTTCTCATATTTTAGATGAACTATTCTTAAGACCATTCTGGATGATACACAGGATTCAAATTTAGTTAAACTTTCATTATCTACATTATGACACAGTATTCATATCTACCTTATGACATAGTATTCATTATATAGGTAATGAAGTTTTAACTAAATTTGAACCCTGTTGAGTAATTAGTGCACATGTTACTGGCTTTTTCGAAGTCTCCATTTCACTCTTCCTATTACCTCATTCGATAATACTTCTAGGTTATTCCTTATGAAATAATTATTCCCAAACCCATAGCTCAGGAACTGAGTAATGCAAATGAAAACAATTGATATTAACAGTGACCACAGGAAATAGACACTCAGAATGGCACTCTGAACCTGGATCTTTCGTTCATCAGATGGGAGCAAGGGCTGATTGTCATTGACATGGCTAGAACTCCTAGCATGCTGCAGCATCACTTGCAGCAGGAATGCGCTATAGGTGGAAAGGAAAGCATTGGCTTATGCAGAAGCTCTAGTACTTGAATGATATGGGGACAAAATTAAGGATTGTGAAGAAATGACTAAGCTAATTTATAATTTTTGAAAAGAGAGAATGATATGCTTAAGTTAGCCAACTATTACCCACAACATGTTTTCAAACTTGGAAGGTTTGAATGGAAATGTATAAAGATATCTTCATCTCCTCCAGCTATACCACAAAGTGCTGAAAATCAGGCATGAACAATTATGAGAATGGCAGAGTTGCAAACGGAACTGAATTGTTAAGTCTTAAGTGCCAATCTATAAAATAAGACCTCTGAAAGTTGGATATTTAAATTAGTTTTACAACGTGTATGTATAGAAAGTAATAAAGCCATGTAATTAAATATGTACAATTTTTAATTGTCAACTATATCTCAATAAAGTTGGAAAAATTAGATTTGGGTGGTTTATGTAACATTGTGTCTATATTTCAATTTTTAGATTAGCATCAAGTGAAGCTACAACTACGCAGGGACCCATTTGTAATATTGAGGCCATGTTTGATAATGATTGATGATTGATGATGGTAGTTGTAGTTAAGAGGAAAGGCTAACATTTATTGAAAGAGGATACGTGTCATATTTTTTCTACTGAGTATGCAAGAGGAGCTTATTTTAATACACTTCATGGATGGAAACATAAAGCAAAGACTCATTACAATTTTTGTCCCAAAACTAAACAATTTAGAAAAATTGGAGCCAAGATTTTTACCTAGGTATGTTTGTTCCACTGCATCGTCTATTAAAAAATTATTTGTGTAGGCTGGGCGCGGTGGCTCACACCTGTAATCCCAGCACTTTGGGAGGCCCAGGCGGGCGGATCAGGAGGTCAGGAGATCGAGACCATCCTGGCTAAGGTGGTGAAACTCCGTCTCTACTAAAAAAATACAAAAAAATTAGCCAGGCGTGGTGGCGGGCGCCTGTAGTCCCAGCTACTGGGGAGACTGAGGCAGGAGAATGGCGTGAACCTGGGAGGCGGAGCTTGCAGTGAGCCCATATCGCGCCACTGCACTCCAGCCTGGGTGACACAGAGTGAGACTCCGCCTCAAAACAAAAACAAAAACAAAAACAAAATTATTTGTGTCACGTAAATGAGCTCGGACTTTGCCTTAAGAACTTTTGGAGCCCTACTGGAAAATTGCAACAGCCTCGATTTAGGAGTTTGGAATTTATTTTAGTATTGAGAAAGAGAATATTGTCCTGTTTTGAATATTTACGTGAATATTAATGTGAAGATGGAGAAAAGTAGACATATAGCAGTGAGGCTTATGAATAGAAATTATAGTTCTTCAAGATTGATTGGATATGGAATAAGATGTAATCAGGTATAATATTCACAGTATTCAAAAACCAACACAGCATTAAGTACCAATCAATCAGATTGAATGTCAGATCAATCAGAATAGACAAAAGCAGTTTTACAGTACCAGTCTATCCTGGCTCATTATCAACTTATATAAAAGAAAGAGACAGGAAGTGTGTAGTTCATGCTTCTGACTTAAATGAGTGGGTGGACGGTAATCTAGTCTTTGTGACTGGGGCATACTTTTGTACTGAATTATAATGTGGGTTTATTTCTTTCACAAAGTAGTTTCTTTGTCTTTGCCATTTGGAAAAAAGAAAATAGCAACAATTTCTTATAGATTTATCAAGAATATAAAATAAAATACGGCATTTCTATCAATTGCCTAGAAAAATGTATTGTAAGTGCTTATTATTTGAAGAGCTTTATTTTATGCAGAAAAAGTGTATTTAAAATAATAATGTTCTTTTAAATTTTTTATAGATTGTACTCTGGAATATATTTACCAGGGATTAAATAGAGAAATTTATTTAGAACAAAGGCATGTATTAATAGTAATACATATTAAAATAGATGTGACTTCAATGTCCAAATATAGAATATTTTAACAAATTATTATAAATTAATATAATGCTATATAAACACACATATTGCTGGAAATATAAAATATATGTGTCCACACCAAAAAATATATATATTCATTTCATAGCTATTAGTGGATGCACTTATTATCTTGCAGTTTTTCTTAATCCAGCTTTCTCTCCTCAGCAGAGTATCTAAATTTGATATCGACAGGAGATCACAAAAGAGCGATGGAAATGCAAGGAAAATTAATACTGCACAACTTTTTGGGATTTTTTAACTTCAAATTTTACTTTAGAACACTAATAAAATAAAAGTGTGCATAAGAAACCAGAGAAACATACCTTTTTATGGAATAAAAAATTGATATAACTTATTTCAGGATAGTTGATCTATAAAAATAAAAATTTAAATGTACATACATGTATTTTTAAATGTGCTCAAAGAAGCACATCGACAGACACCCATTGCATTATTATTTTTAATAGTATACAATATTAAAATCAACTTAAGTATACACGGGTAGATAACAAGTAATATAAATTTTGTATGTTTCGGTATAAATACAAAATAAAATACAAACCAGCAGTTGAAATGAACGAGTTAAATACAATTGCTGACCTGCGGAGATGTTCACAATATATTGTTAAGTGACAAAAGGAATATTTTAAATATTATATAATGTGAATAATTCCTTTAGTGTAGCTGAGAAATAAATTCTATTCTTAGGACTCCAAGGCTGCTCTGTGTGTCACTATACTCCATTGCCTTCTAGCCATATTAACAAAATTAGCATAAATATAACCCTTGTGCCTTAGATTCTCCTGATACTAAGAACCCCTGATTAATTTAGGATTGGGGCATGGGTGCCTAGCAATATAGATCATCCTTAATTTGACTTGAGCTTCTGCCCAATACCCTAAAGAATAAGATAAACCAACAGACTTATTTGTTTACCTTGGCAAATGCATCCATAAGCACTTATAAAGGAATGCTTATAACAAAATTTAACTTCCTAACTACAGGAAGGCAATATAACTAAATATTATACTTATAATGGAATATTATGACAATCTTTTAAATAATTAGATGTGTAGGAAAACACTGGAGAAGGAAAGGGGAAAGGAACAATGAAAGAAGGGAAAAAACAGATCAAGGGGGAGGTAAGGAAGGATGACTAATTTTAGTTTTTAGTCTTCAGTATATGATTCTCACATGCCTTTTCTAATTTATCCCACAGCCACACTTTTTAAAAAACACGCTATAAGCCAATTAACTGAATTCCTCTCACATTTTCTGTTTCCATGACTTTGTTCTTGTTGTACCCTTTGTAGAAATGTCCTTTCCCAAATTTCTGAATGTGTGTATCTTACCTGACCTTGAAGAGCAACTCAATGGCCACCCATTTCACAAAGCCATTCATGATCAATCTCTATCTCAACCAAACCCTCACTGTACAAATTCTGAGTATACACAATCATACTTTATCTGATCCATTTAATAATGTCTAAACTGTTCCATAGGGGCTGGTGAATGAGTTGTTATTTTTCTTGGCATCTAAATAAATAAGATTTTTCAATATTCATTCTAGGGATATTAATATTATTTTCCTTCGACTGTATGTTTTTGCCTTTAAAATTTTATTTTATTTGAAATATCTGATTTGTATTTACAGTTTTAATGAATTGCCCCAAAATTCATCTATTTTCTAAGTTATCACAAAGCTGTACCTAAGCAAAGTTTAATTTTTGCTTATTGAAACAGTATTTTTTAGTATTGTTCATATATATGTGTATGTGTATAAATATCAAATTAATCTTTTGTTAGCAATACGATCATCACTGATTGAAAGATGTTTCACACAAAATTTTAACTTTATCTTATTAATCCCATAAATGTAATAAATCTATACAAGCTGCTCACTGAATTTCTGCTTTGAGGAATTCTAAAGGTTTAATATAGGCAAAATAAAGATTATCTTGTACATTATGACAGAAAATGGGTTCAAAGTTTGCCTCTAAATGCAAAACAGTTTTACCTAATTTATATATGTATATGTGTGTATATATGTATATATAGATGTGTGAGTAATATATATGTATATATGTGGAATGTGTTTGTATGTATATATACTACTAGAAAATAAAATGAGATTTCTGCTGGCTTCACTTTGTGTATTTTAAAGAACTATTTTTCCTGAGGCACTGGAATATAGGATCTATATTGTAGATTGTTAGGAGATTTGCCCTATTTTTTGTTTCATTTTATTACTATCTAGCAACATTTGGTTACTATTGCCAACACCCCCTTCACAAACGTCATAGCTACCCTAATAGTTCCCATCACACCAAATGGCACTCCCGTGCACTCCGTGCAAGGCCTGCAGCATCTGACCCTTTCTTTTTCTAAGCTTATTTTTAAACTATTTTTTATGTTCTATGTCACTATGCTTTAACCACACTAATCTTCCTTTCACTTGAACCTGAAAATCTCCTTTTCAGGAGGTATATTAAATGATTTGCACTTGTTGTGTGTATTTTATGATGCTTTACTCCAAATGAAACATTAAACTTCCTTCTTTGCTCTATGACTCAACCATGACTTCTATAGAAAGGGTTTTCCTGGAGACCGTATCTGATAATCCTCACCCTTTAGGTCATTCTTATTCCTTTTTCTAACGAGTACTGTTTATTTTCTTTGTAGGTCTTACCACTGAAATAACACTGGTTGCTTATTTAAATATCTTTCAGCTTCATCACAATGCAAGATCCTTTTAAATAGAGGTGTATATTGTTTATTGTTGAAATTCCAGTGTCTAGAATAGAGTCTAGTATAGAGTAGCTGTACAATAAAAAAGTTAATGTCTAAAGCTATATATACCTATATATGGAAAAGTTGTAGTGTTTTGGGTATTATTGATGAGGGTGAGGAGCTGTTGTGATGCAGAAATTGGAACAGTTCCACATGTCAAATTATGTTTTTTAAGGTATAATACTATTTCTTACTTTAAATCTTAGATTACCCTATTCTAAAGATAGCACAATTAGTTTTAGATTGTTATACACAGAAATACTTAGATATAAGGAGAGCAATATAATTGTTTCAGTAAATAATACTACCACTTTTGCTGCTTATTGAGAACTATCTACTGTAGTTTGCACAGCTTTTGCGTAGATGATAGTGAAGGGCACCACCATTTGGATTATTCCACAGACAAAGGAAAACATAGTTACTGCTCTGTAATGATGGAGCAGCTTCTGGAGAAGACTAATCATTGCTAGTTATTGCAGCTTTTCCAACTTGAATAGGAACCCTGAAAGAAAAACGGGGAAAGTGAGAGAGCAAGAGAGAACAAATTACTTGTAAAGAATTCTAAATCTGAAATATCTGATTTCAAACAGGAGTGTGGTTGTGAAAAACAAGACATAGACATAATGTAGAAACAGGTGAATATTTACTACTTATTCTTTTCTTTATCAGAGGATATCTATCTTCATGTATCTATGAAGACACACAAAAAAAGAAATTTAACTAAAAAATCATGTCTCTTTATTTCATCATAGCACACAAAGCAGAGGAGGGAAACATAGGCCCTGCAATGAAAATTATGTGCTATACTACTGCCAGCTGTCTTGAGTGGCTTGCCCAGTTTTTGAGTGCTTAAAAGAAAGTTGTAAACAACATGTCACCTGCTTATTCACATGGGACTTCGATGTTGGAACACAGTATCTGTTTTGGCATGAATGAAATTCACAGGTTTACTTCATTAAGCTCCTATGGGAAGTTAAGCTACTAAAATTATTATTTTGATCTTTGTTGTATAATTTTTAAAATAAGAGCATGAGAAATACAGTGAATAAATGTACAGTTAATCCTTTGTATTTGTGGGGTCCACACCCACATTTTCAACCAACAGCAGATAAAAAATATTTGAAGAAATTGTACTTAATACGTACAGGCTTTTTTTCTTGTCATTATTTCCTAAACAATACAGTATAATTATTGACACAGCTGTGCATATGTGCAAATTATACCATTTTATATAAAGAGCTTGAGTATACTCAAATTTTGGTATATAAAGGAGATCCTGCAAAAAATTATCCAAGAATACTGAAGGATGAATATGTTTCACTTATAACAAAAATTCCTGTATTTAAGTCCCTTCTGAGCACATGTAGCTTGTACAGATACCAACAGATAAAATATTGTCTAATGTGTCTAATGTGTCCATTAAGATGGTTATAACAACCATGTTGCAAATAGATGAAATATTTTGTTAATCAGAATAACTATCACTGAATAAATAAATTTGGTTCCTATAATATTAGCTTAAATAAGTATTATTTTTGAATTGACTGGATACCTTTTTAGAAATATTATTTTTCCCTTTCATACTATTATCTATGAAGAATATTTGTCCACATACTACTCTAATACATCTTCTTCAGGTGGAATTTTCTAAGAAGTTAAAAACACAAATCTAATCATACAGACTAGTTTGCACTGTTCCTACTTAGCAAATATTAACTATAACTATTAAATCTGTAGATTGCCAGCAAATTTTCAGTAAGTCATTTAATTCTAATAGCAGTAAGATAAATGATAACATTTCTTTTAAATTTTGAGGTTTTCCTTTTTATTCCCCTCAATGACTAAAACATTTCTTTTTAAAAAAGCCAAGAGGAAATAAAGTACACTTATGGTCCAGGCTTCTGTTCTTTAAATTGCATTTGTTTTAAAGAAAAATGCTTATGGGGCACATTTCGGTTACATGTGGCATCAGTGTTAATGACATCGATATTTTATAACAGCTCAGGTTTAAGATGAAAATAACAGCTATTAACTTAGTTTGAAAATATAAATTTCAAACATTTTTCTTGCAGCTTGTCAATAACACCCCAAAGCATATACATACCAAAAAACTAAGAGATATCTGTAAAGTCCATTTTCTTTATTTGGTTCACACAGTCAATAAACAATTCCTGTTGATTATGTGTCAAAAATATATAAGACACATAGATGTCTCTGCTTTTTGGTTGTCATATATCTTACCAGCCTGGGCTCTCACAACAGCATTCTAACATGTTTCTCCTTTCCCTCTCATGACTTTCATTTATTTTCCAAATACACTAGCCGTATAAAAATAAATTGTGAAATATTATCTAGGACAGTTTGCATAAGTTTGGAATTCTGTTTCTTTATAGTTGTATAGAAAATACCTGTAAAATATGTACATATTCAATTCCTTTATTTTTTCTAATAATTTATTGATGTAAAATCATGTAACATAAAAATAACTACTTTAAAATAAACAATTATGTGGCATTTAGTACATTCACAATGTCATACAACTAACTACTATCTATTTCCAGGCTATGTCAAGTACAGCAAAGTAAAACCCTTTAACATTTAAAGAGCTAGTTTTTTGTTGTTGTTGTTTTTGTTTTTGTTTTACCTCCCTCTGCCCCCAGCATCAGGCAATCACCAACTGGAGTTCTGTCACCATGGATTTTCTGGATATTTCATAAATGGAATCATGGAATACGTGACTTTTTGTGTCTTGCTTATTTCACTTAAGAATAATGTTTTAGAAACTCATTTATGCTGTAACATGTATCAGTATTTTATTTCTTCATTCATTATGGCTAAGTGATATTCTATTGTATGTATATTCCACAGTTGTTTTTTTCCACTCAACCACTGATAGACATTTAGGCTGTTGTTAGCTTTTGGCTGTTGTAAATAGTGCTACTGTGAACATGGGTACACAAATATTTCAAGTGGCTGCTTTCAATTTATTTAGACATATACTTGGAAATGGGATTGCTGGATGATATGGTAGTTCTATTTTAATTTTTTGAGATAGCTCCATCCTGTTTTTTATACAGACTGCCCCATTTTACATTCTTGCCAACAGTGCACAAGTTTTCCAATTTCTTTACATCCTCACCAATTCTTATTATGTGTTTTTTAGTTTTGAGGTGGGGTGGAGGTTGGTTGTTGCTTTCATTAAATACTAGCCATCCTGACGGTTGTGAGGTTTGGATTTCATGGTTTTTATTTGTATTTCTCTAATAATTAGTAATGATGAACATCTTTCCATATATTTGTTGGCCATATATATGTATCTTTGGAGAAATGTCTATTTGAGTCCTTTGTTAATTTTTAAAATTCAGGTTATGTGATGTTTTGTTATTGAGTTTTAAGAGTTCTTTAAATATTCTACACATTGAAACCCGTATTCCCATTATAAATACATGATTTAAAAATTTCTTTCTCATTCTCTAGGTTGATAATTCATTCCACTGATTGTATTTTTTGATGAATAAAAGTTTGTAATTTTCATGAAGTTCCAGTTGTCTATGTTTTTTTTGTTGCCTATGCTTTTGGTTTTTTATCACTGCCAACTAAAATATTACAAAGTTTTTCCCTATGGCTTTATCTAGGAGGTTTTTTTTTTTTATAGTTTTAAGCCTTATGTTTAGGTCTTTAATCCATTTTGAAGTAATTTTTGTATATGCTATAATATCTGTAAGATAAAGGTCAAACTTTATTTTTTGGTATATGGATATCCATTTTTTCCCAGCACCATTTATTGAAGGGATTGTCATTTCCCCATTGGGTGTTAATTTTTTTTGAAGGCCTTTTTATCATAAACAAGAGGTTTATTTCTCAGCTTTGTATTTTATTCGATTGTTTAATTTGTCTTTCTTTAGGCCAAATCATACTGTTGTGATTACTGTATTCTTGTAGTATGTTTTGAAATTAGAAATAGTGAGTCATCCAACCTCTTTTTCAAAATTGTTTGGCTATTCAAGGTCACTTGAGATTCCATATACATTTTTATATTTCTGAAAAATTGATGGTAAACTGGTAATTTAATAGACATTCATCGAAACTGTAGATCACTTTGGGTAGTGTGGACATCTTAATTGCTACCTCTTAACAATTTAAATTGTTTTAATCCATGAAGATGGGATGTCTATTTCTACTTATTTGTGTCTTCTTTAACTTTTTTAACATTCTTTTCTAATTTTCCAGGTACAGATCTTTCAACTCCTTGGTTATGGTTATTCTTAAATATTTTATTCTTTTTCATAATATTTTAAATAAGAGATTTACAATATTATATTATATATTACATATTATATAATATTACATATAATATAATATAATATTACATAATATAATATTACATATAATATTACATATTATATAATATAATATTACATAATATAATATTACATATAACATTACATATAATATAACATTACATATAATATAACATTACATATAATATAACATTACATATTATATAACATTACATATTATATAATAGTACATATATCATATAATAGTACATATTATATCATATAATAGTACATATTATATCATATAATAGTACATATTATATCATATAATAGTACATATTATATCATATAATAGTACATATTATATCATATAATAGTACATATTATATCATATAATAGTACATATTATATCATATAATAGTACATATTATATCATAATAGTACATATTATATCATATAATAGTACATATTATATCATATAATAGTACATATTATATCGTATAATAGTACATATTATATCATATAACAGTACATATTATATCATATAATAGTACATATTATATCATATAATAGTACATATTATATCATATAATAGTACATATTATATCATATAATAGTACATATTATATCATATAATAGTACATATTATATCATATAATAGTACATATTATATCATATAATAGTACATATTATATTATATATACACACACACACACAAATCCTGGTCACCATAGCAGATATTTTTCTAAATGTCAAAAGCTAGGGTAGGAGATGTAGTTTATTACTCCTTTGTGTTTTTTTTTTGTTTGTTTTTGTTTTTGAGACGGAATCTGGCTCTGTCGCCCAGGCTGGAGCAGTGGCGCTATCTGGGCTCACTGTAAGCTCCGCCTCCTGGGTTCACACCATTCTCCTGCCTCAGCCTCACGAGTAGCTGGGACTACAGGTGGCCGCCACCACGCCTGGCTAATTTTTGTGTATTTTTAGTAGAGACAGGGTTTCACTTCGTTAGCCAGGATGGTCTCCATCTCCTGACCTCATGATCTGCCTGCCTCGGCCTCCCAAAGCGCTAGGATTACAGGCGTGAGCCACCGCGCCTGGCCGAGTTTATTACTCTTACAGAGTAAGAGAATAAGTTTATTATATAATATATTATGTAATATTACCTAATATTGTAAATAAGAGAACTACCAGATGATATTAGAACACCTTGCTATTCCTGAAGTAAGGAAATACTAAAGAAAAATAACAACAATAGATGCATGTCACAAGGACAAAGGTGCCACTTTAAAGAGGCTTCTCTGGAAGCCAAATCTGGGATAATATAACCAATGAAAGTGATGAATTATAAACTTTGAAATAAGATGGAAATCTGTGAGTCCACACCTATAACAAATGATAGATAGGTATATGGATAGATAAAAAGTGCTTTAGTCCATTTTCTGCTGCTATAACAGACAACAGAACAATTTACAAACAACAGAAGTTTATTCAGCTCATGGTTCTGGAGGCTGGGAAGTCTAAGAGTGTGGTGCTGGCATCTGATGAAGACCTTTGTGCTGCATCACGTTATGATAGAAGATGGAGGGGAAAGAAAGTACATACAAGAGTGGAGAGAATATGGGCTAAATGTATCCTCTTATCAGGAACTCCCCCACTCTTTAATAACTAATGCATTCCTGAGATAATGGGTAAAGGGTTAATGAACATTCTTTGTATTAGTCTTACAATTTTTATAAGTTTAAATTTATTGAAAAATAAAAGTAAAAATAGAAAAGTAAATTTTTTATAATTTTTATATTCCACAAGTATTTTACAAGAGTTGATCTTTGGTTTTGTTTTGCTTTGCTCTTTTTTTAGGATTTCTTTTAGAAGTAAAATATTTTTATGTTTCACTCTATATTTATTTTTTAATTTATAGTATAATTTTTTCATAAAATAGGGTATAGAAAAATTATTCTAAAGATGTTTGAGAAAATTTCTCTTACTTTGGCCTTGATTATAAAGTTTTGTTTTTTTTTAATGATACTCTTTTCTGTTACTAATTCCATAATCTTCCTCTCCAGTTTGTCATAATCAAACCAGATTAATTATGCATTTGTATTACTCATCCAATTTTGAGCTAATTAGATTGTAAAGTGCTTGATCTCTTTCATATTTTAATCTCTATTTTTAAAACCTGTGCATAGTTAATGTAGAAACACTTACTGATAAATTAAAATTATGACATTGTACAGATTTTTCAGATGCATAAGATACTGTTTCATGTCTTTTGAAATTATCACAAGTTGAAGGATGACAATGTTAAATCAGGTGCACTTATTACACTTATTTCACCTTCTAACACAATGTTAATGCTTTTATGATGAACATTATTTATACATATACCAAATGTTTCAAGCTGATATGTTTGAAAATATAGTCATGGGCAGCCTCTAGTAATGAAAAATGATCTGCATATTCACAAATTAATCCACCTGTGTTTCAATTGGCTCCACTCTTACAATACCCTAGCATAGGCTCTGCTATATTCAAATAATAGTCAATTTTTGAATTAATGGATGAGGAAGTATGTTTTAAGCAGCAGAAGGTAAAGATTTCTACCATGTTGATCAATTATCCTCAGATCTTTTAGCTTAAGGAAAAAGGAAAGAGAAAAAGAAACACACACACACACACACACACACACACACACCAAATCCTGGTCACCATAGCAGATATTTTATAAATGTCAAGGGCTAGGGTAGGGAATGTGAGTTTATTACTCTTACAGGATTTGAGCCATGGAATGTAAGGGAATGTCAATCTCTATTTAAATTTTATGTATTCTGCAAAATATAAAAAAGTCTGCACAAAGTAAAATCATTTAGTATACTGTTTTTCCTCTTCAAAATACCTTACCCTTCTCATATCTTATTCTTGCAATCTATAACCTACTGCAAATTCAATCTCAATTCTGCAGCTTTATTGCCCCTCACCTAAACTTTAGAATACTTTCCACTCTGCCATCTGCGATTATACTCCCTAAGCAGTATGACCTTCTTTTAGTGTTTCATGCTTTAACTGAAGCACACCCCTTTCCTTGAGCATTATTTTACCTTTACTCCTATCGTCACTATCAATAGCACTGATGATTATTCTCAGCCAAATTTAAGCTGTATTTTTCTCCATCAAAACCACACTTACTCTTACACTCAAAACCTTCTGGGGGGTTGATTTGGAAGCATATTTTTAGGTTTCTCAATTATCTTCTACATTGCTCCCCTATTTCTTTTTACTTCTTTTTCTTTTTTCTTTCTTTTCTTTTCTTTTTTTTTTTTTTTTTTAATTGAGACAAGGTTTTACTCTGTCACCTAGGTTGGAGTTCAGTGGTGCGATCACAGCTCACTGCAGCCTTGACCTCCGGGCCTCAGGTGATCCTCCCACCTCACCTCAAACTCCCAAGTAGCTGGACCTAAAGGCACGCTCCACCCACACCCAGGTAATTTTTCTATTTATTGTAGAGACAGAGTTTCGCCATGTTGCCAGGGCTGGTGTCAAACTCCTGGGCTCAAGCAATCTGCCTGCCTCAGTCTCCAAAAGCTCTATTACAGGTGTGAGCCACCTCGCCCAGCCATTCCCTTTTTGAAACAGTTTCTTGAATTTTGCCCCCTAAGCTCTATTTACCTTATTCTGTTGTTTCTGACTCCAGCTTCTTGATCTCTTTTTCTCGATTACCACCTCTACCTTTCTCAACATTGCCTCTCAAGATTTAGTGCTATACTTTTCCTTTTCAATTTCACCTCTTCCATGTTAACAGCTTCCATTACGATCTATATATCATGTATATACCAGTGGTTTTCAAATATGTATTTAAACTTCTTCACTGACTTTCAGACTCATATCCCCAACTGTCTACTAATACCTAGAGGAGCTAAAAGTTTTTCTGACACAAGATGGAATCTTAAATATATATTAAATAAAGTTCAAATTTACCTGAAACTGAACGTATTCCAAATTTGGGATCTCATCGGCACACCTTCACAACCATAAAAAATTAAATATATCTCCTCTGATGTCTCCTATCTCAGTGACTGACACCACTATCCATCTTTATACGCATGATATATACTGAGAAGTAACATTTATCTTCACATATCATATGCTATTTTTCACTGTCTTATCTCCCAAATGCTACTAAAATAAACTTTATATTTTTTTAACTGTCATCACGAGTTCAAACATTCCTCACACACTCCGCCATCTTTTACTATTGACCTAGGTTATAACTTTGTCACTTTCTACTCCAGTATACCACAGATACAAAGACAATAATATTTTATAATTTTTTCCAAAAATTGTATGGTTTTTTTTTTCTTTTTGAGACATAGTTTTGCTCTTGTTGCCCAGGCTGGAGTGCAATGGCATGATCTTGGCTGGGATTACAGTTATGCACCACCACTTCTGGCTAATTTAGTATTTTTAGTAGAGACGGATTTCTCCATGTTCATCAGGCTGGTCTCGAACTCCAGACCTCAGGTGATCTGCCTGCCTTGGCCTCCCAGAGTGCTGGGATTACAGGCATGAGCCACCGCACCCGGTCTCCATTTTTACATACTATTATTTTGCCTAGGAGACTTTTCTATTGTTTCCCCACACTCTCAATTATTTTTCTACTTAAGTTCCTTTCATTCTTTAAATACCTGTTCAATATTATTTACTTAAGAGCTGTTTCTTACCTAGCAAGACTAAAATGGATACTTAGGATTCATGAGATCACAGCTTTGTGAACTTTCAGTCATCTAACTTGCACCATTTATTTTTATGTACTCACTATACCATAGTATTCACAAAAGAATGGTATCTTATCTGACATTTTTGTCCCCAGAGACTAGCACAGTTCCTGGTACATAGTAGGAAATTAACTACTGTTTATAGCGTCAATGAATAAATGAGGAGCCATAAATGCTTTGTTAGGGGAGACACAAATAACTCTATTATATGTAGTTTATATTATCCAATAAAATGGAACACACGATTCAGCTAGATATAACATTAACAGAATTATAGAACAGAATTATCTACTCTGTTAACAGAATTCTAGCTTTGAATACTAACAAAATCCACTATGTAATTTTTAAATGTTTTTATTTATTTTATTATTATTATTGTTTTTTGAGACAGAGTCTCACTCTGTTGCCCAGGTTGGAGTGCAGTGGTGCGATCTAGGCTCACTGCAACCTCCGCCTCCCACTTTCCAGCGATTCTCCTGTTTCAGCCTCCAGAGTAGCTGGGATTACAGACACCTGCCACAATGCCCAGCTAATTTTTGTATTTTTAGTAGAGATGGGACTTCACCATATTGGTCAGGGTGGACTCCTGACCTCAAATGATCCACCCCTCTCGGCCTCCCAAAGTGTTGGGATTACAGCCATGAGCCACCACACCTGACCTTGTAATTCTTATATAAAGGCAAACAGGGCATAGTTATATGAAGAGTATAAGGGACATAAGATGCAGAGTTTTTTTAATTATGTTTTACAAAACAATTAGACATGTTCTTTATATTGGAAGCTTGCAGATATTGAAAATATAAGATTAATTCAACTCACTAAAGGTATTTCTACAGAGAATTAGGATTATTTTGGTTGTTGTTCTTACAAAACTTAATATAGTAACTGAAATTAGAACACAAGTTCAGAATGCTAAAATGTCGGTAACCTGAAGTAGAACAAATTAAATCTCCCAGGATTAGGAAACGGATTTGTTTCAGGATCTGGGATGTAGCTGAGTTTGTAAGGAGTGTTAATATTTTATGTATGTGTATTCAAAAATACTAAGAATAAATATCCAGGTAAATAATTACAGATTATTTCAATGTCTTATGTGAGGTCTATAAAACTCTTATTTGTAAATAATTTACAGTTAAATCCTTTGATGCGTTTCTGAAATGTAAATGTTTGGGCTGTTTATTTAAAGTGATCCACATGGTTTACATAACAGATGTTCAGGTGACAAGAGTAGATAATTCTGTTCTAAAATTTAGAAGCTCACATCAATGTCTTCTCAGTGTGAATGATGGCCTCAAGATGTTAGGCCAGAGAGGTCCCTATGACCTAACGTTAATTATAATGTTTATAAAGCCTTAGAATGGTGCCTGATATAAAGCAGCTGATTTATAATAGTAAATTGATGATGCTGATGATACTTATTAATATACTTTCAGCCAATTATAATAATCCACATAGAAAATGTACATCCATTTATTTATTACATCCTCGTTAAACGTATTGGATTTAGTTTTAATTGTATGTGTCTGAACATGTTTGTACATAATGTGAACAGATTTATTTTAAAATTTATTGAAAAAAGTTTATGGAATTATTATGTAATATTCTACAACTTACTTTTGGTGATTATATGTGTCATTAAAGGTTAACCCTGATTATTCATGACATAAATAAGTCAAGACCATAGAGTTAGTCAAGAAGTTTTACAGTTATTTGCATGTAAAAAGCTAAGCTTCTGAAAAAAAGTCTATTACTTCAAGGTGTCTGGATTATATTTATGAATTTAATTCCAAAATATATTTTAGGCTTTTATTATATTCAATATGTAGTAAGAATAATTGAAGAGTGGAAAAAATTAATCAAACTGTATCTTTATTCTCAAAAAAATTCAACATCAATCAGAACAGTCAGGCTTCTGTAAACCTATGAAACTGGTAATTAATCATGATGTTCCTAGAAGTGAAATACACAGAAAGGCGTCTTAGTCTGTTTTTGCTCCTATAAAAATACCATAGACTGGCTAATGTATAAAGAGCATAAATTTATTTCTCTGAGTCCTGAAGGTAGGGAAGTCCAAGATTAAGACCCTACCAGTTTCAGTATGTAGTGAAGACTCATTTCTTATAGAGGGCAATATATAGGTGCCCTCATATGGCAGAAAAGACAGAAAGGGCAGAAGTGAATGAATGCTGTATTCGCATATGACAGAAGAGCAGCAGTGCAAAACATGGCCTCAGCTAGTACCCACCAGCCCTTTTATAAGCACTAATACATTCATGAGGATGAAACCCTCATAATTTTATCACTTCCCTCAAAGCCACACCTCAATATGTCACCACCATGAGGATTAAGTTTCAATATAAATTTTGGAAGAGACACACTTTCAAACCATAGTGGAAGCCTACTAACTTTTTTCTTGATATGTATAAGCAGAAATTTGTAGGTCAAGTGAATAAAAATGTAACCTGGATTATAAAAACAGAGCCACAGCCCCTCAGTCAATTCCTAGGTTTGCGCCAGTTTGCAGACCAAGAAACCCTTTAATAAAGAGGAAGCCAGATACTTCTGAGAAAAGACCCAAGTATGCTACCATAAATTTATGCTGTTATTCTTTGCCACGATAATGGTACATTGGGGAAACACATAATAATCAGGCTTAAATTGATACTAATTTTAACAGTCTGTATACATCATTGTGTCCTACCAGTCAGAGTAGAGGCACATGAAGGTCAGGTGTTCCATGGAGTTTTAGCTCAGGTTTAACTTACAGTGGACCTAGTAGGTCCCCAAATCTACCCTGTGATTAGTTCTCCTATTCTAGCACTTTGGGAGGCCGCGGCAGGTGGATTGCTTGAGCCCAGGAGTTTAAGACCAGCCTGGGCAACATGGTGAAACCCTGTCTCTGCAATAACATACAAAAAAGTTAGCCAGGCATGGTGGCGTGCGCCTGTAGTCTGAGCTACTCTGGAAGCTGAGGCAGGAGGATCACTTGAGCCTAGGAGGCGGAGGTTGCAGTGAGCCAAAATTGTGCCACTGTACTCCAGCCTGGGTGACACAGTGAGACCTTGTCTCAAAAAAATAAAAATATAAATATGAAAAGAAATGCTGTTTAAAATGGCCTTTTTTAGACCGTCATAGGTGAATTGCAGCACAGGTCTTTAGGATTTTGGAGCAAGGCTCTGCCATCCTCCACAGGTAATCACTCTCCTTTTGGAAAACAGATCTTGGTCTACTACTAGGCCTTAGCAGAGACTGAACCCTAAACCATGAGCCACAAAGTTAGCATGTAATATTAGCTGCCCATCATGGACTTGGTGTTATCTGACTCACTAAGCAATGAAGTTGAACAGGCATAGCACACTCCATCATGAAATGGAATTGGTATATACATGATCAGGCTGGAGCAGATTCTGAAGGCACAAATAAATTGCATAAACAAGTAGTCCAAATGCCTGTGGTCCCAACTTCACTACTCTGCATTTTCTCTTTCAGCCTGCACCTGTGGTCTTATGGGGCAGTTTCTATGGTGAGTTGACAGAAGAAGAGAAGACTTGGACCTGGATTACAGATGGTCGTGCATTATATGCAGTCACCACCAAGTGAACCGCTGCAGTGCAACAGCCCCTCTCTGGTACATGCCTAGAGGACAAGAGAGAAGGCACATCCTCCCATTGGACAGAACTTTGAGCAGCACACCTAATTTTTCACTTTACTTGGAAGAAAAAATGGCCAGATGTGTGATTATGTACCAATTCATGGGCTGTAGCCAATGGTTTGGCTGGGTGGTTAGGGACAAGACAGAAACATGATTGGAAATTATTGACAAAGAAACTTAAGGAAATGAAGTGCTACTCCACAATAGAGGTAAGAACAGTTTTCCCAGAATATACGAGATTCTTTAAAGTGTCTCATAGTATTCTCATGCCCTGTGATTAAGGTCAATGGAAAACTACAACAACCCAATCCAGGAAGAACTACTCCTGACCCAGAGCCTTCAGTTATAAAGATTTGTCTTAGTCCACTAGTTAAATAACCACAATCAGCTGAGGTACTTTCTGAAAGTAAAAGGAATACACTATGGGTAATGGAAGAAGGTCCCTATAAACCCTAGCTGCAACCACACAACCAGTTACAGAAATAAGAACTGTTTAAGTGTCATGGTATTCCTCCTTATTTTGTTATGAGTGTATATGTTTAAAGTATAATATATATAGTATATATACTTATAAATTATATATATGTAGGCATATCTTGGTTTTCTTTCCTCTCATATTCCCTTATCATGTAAAGTAAGTTGTGTTGAATTTTTATCATAGCAGTGAAGTATCATTAATCTCATATTATAACCTGGGAGTTGCTAAAAAATTAAACATCACTCAAGAGTTTATCTCCAATTCAGGGAAGTGGCTAGTGCATTCTAATTCGTAGGCAAGATAGTTGCATCATATTATATGGAATTATGACCTTGTTATTGCCTTTAGAATTTAAATGTGGTTTAAGAGGGTGCTTATTGGTGCCAAGTTGACAAGGTGCAGCCCTGTGATGGTTAATTTTATATGCCAACTTGGGTGGGCCACAGGGTGCTGATATTAATCACAGCTTCTGGGATGTGTCTATGAGGGTGTTTCTGGAGGATATTAGCATTTGAAGGGTGACTCAGTAAAGCAGATTGCTTTTCCCAGTATGGTTGGGCCTCATCTAATTGAACATGAATAAGCAAATAAAATGGAAAGAGAAGAAATCTGTCCCTTTTTTTATGCCTCACAGCTTGAGCTGGATGTCTCATCTCATCTTCTCCTGCCCTTGGACTGGTTGTTACAACATCAGCTCCCCTGGTTCTCAGGTCTTTGAACTCACTGAGTAATACCACCGCCTTTCCAGGATTCCTGCTTGCAGATAGCAGATTGTGGGAATTCTCAGCCTCCACAATCATCACATAATCCAATTCACCATAGTAAATGTCTTTTTATATATGTGTATGTGTATGTCTGCCTACACATATGCACATATTTAGGCATGTGTCATCTATCAGTGAATATATGGTCTGAGAAATTTATTGTTAGGTGACTTTGTCATTGAGTCAACTTCATAGTGTCCTACTTACACAAACATAAATGGTATAGCCTACTACACAGCTAGGCTATATGGTATAGCCTATTACTCCTAGGCTACAAACCTGTAGCAAGTTACTCTACTGGATATGGTAGGCAATTGTAACAGAATCATAAGTATTTGGGTGAGTAAACATATTGAAGCATGAAGATACAGCAAAAATAGAGTATTATCATCTTATGAGACCACTCTCATATATGCGGTTCATTGGTGACCAAAGTGCCATTATATGGTGCATAACTGTATGTGTAGATATGTGCATACACACACGTGTCCTATAGATACTGTTTGAAGAACCTTCACTAGTATATAGAGTCCTAATAATAAGGAAAAGGAGAAGAGTGAGAAGCACATGCAAGAACAAAGCTTTATGCCCATCTATTCCCCTTCCAAACAGCACCTCATCCTACCATTTGTAGGCACTGTTGTCTATAAATGTGTGTCATTTATCTGGACTGACTTTTTACAAGTATTTTATGAGCATGAACAAGCCACTGAACACTCCCAAGTGCAAGTAAGTAAAATAATGTCTTTTCTGTTTACTTGCCTGGAAAGCTGAAAGGGCCACATAAAATAATATTTGAGGGCTTTTAGGATTATAATGTGATTGATTTCTAAGCTCTGTTCTAGTTGAAATCCCCTCTGCCAAGCCCCATATTACTCTTAGCAATCACACTTTGATACTTCAAGAAAACAAAGGTATTATTAGACACACATATTTTTTAAAAAGATAAAAATGACATATGAAACTAGTGAATGATTTTATTGACATCTCTAGTCCTGTTACTTTTCCCTCTAATATGACACAGTTATTAACAGATTCTGTAGAATGCTTCTTTATTCCTTATTATTTTAAATAGACACCTCACATCCACAAACATATGCACACACAGACAACATAGAAGAGTGATTAAGAACACAGACTCCAGAACCAGGCCATTTGTGTTCAAATATTTATTCTGCCACTTAATGTGTGATGACTTAGGCTCAATTATTTATCCTCTGTGTCTCAGTATTTTTTTCCATAAAATAGGGAAAGTAAAATTGTCTAAAATACAGAGTTTTGAGAATTCAATGAGTTAATGTATATAAAGTATCAGAATAGTGCTCAACATACGGTAAATATTAGCTAATAATTTCATAATTATTGTATAAAATGTGTAATTTTTACATGTAAAAATTACATAAATCGTATTATATATATTGATGTCTGTCTCTTAGTATGTTGTTAACGAAAATTTATTCCCCTCAATATAGAGTGCTAATTATTTACATTTAACTGCAACATTATATTCTATCTTGTGACTTTAACACTAAAAAATGTACAAATGGTTTTCAGTGTATTTTACCAAAAATTTGCATAATACGCTTTGTTTTGATATATGAAATATTTCTAACATAAAATGAACTGGAATTGTTGGCTCAAAGGTTAAAAATGAAATTTCTTTTTCTAAGTAAAAATAACTTATTTTTAAATTAACTACATTATTTTCCTTTCTAAATGTTTGGAAGAATATTTTTAATTGCATATTTGTCATTACTTGATATTATACCTTAGAGTTATTTAAGCTTATTATTAAAATATGTCTTGTTTTGATCTACTTTTCAAAACTACTAGTGAGGTTGGGCAAATTTTCATAAGTTTCTGAATTGCCTGTCCATATTAGCTACCAAAATTTAATGAGTTGTCTGTTACTTGTAGTGATTAGAATTTTTTATTATATTATACATATTAATATTTTGTTGGATATATTTTTGTGAGAATCTTCTCTAGTTATTAAAATTAATTTGGCTGTATTAAAACTACACAAATAAAAAATTTGTTCAATAAATACACAAATTTCCCACATCTATTATATAATATAGAACATTTTGGCTGGGCACAGTGGCTCACACCTGTAATCCCAGTACTTTGGGAGAACCAGGTGGGAAGATCACTTAAGCCCAGGAATTCAAGACCAGTCTGAACAACATGGTGAAACCCCATCTCTAAAAAAATAAAAAAAATTAGCCGGGCATGGCTATGCACACCTGTAGTCCCAACTACTTCAGGGGATGAGGAAGGAGGATTGCTTGAGGCCTGGAAGGTGGAGGCTGCAGTGAGCTGAGATCACGCTACTTCACTCCAACCTTGGAGACAGAGGGAGACATCACACCCCTCTTCAACAAAAAAAGACTTAGACATTCAAAGGGTTCAGGGCTGCTCCATCCAGACTAAACTGTCAGAGTGTTGTCAGTAAGTATTTGCCAATTATTTCCTTCAAAGCTACCAAGAGAAAATTATACAAGTCAGTGATTCTCAAATTTTAATAATAAACAGAATCTTTGGAGGGTTAAAAAAAAAAAAACCTCCCTGAAATTCCCTTGAGCCCAGGACTTCAAGGCTGCAGTGAGCTGCGATCATGCCACTGCACTCCAGCCTAGAGGACAGCTCAAGACCCTATCACTAAAAAAAAATAAAAATAAAAATAAAATAAAATAGAACATCTAGGCCAGGCTCGGTGGCTCATGGCTGTAATCCCAGCACTTTGCCGGGCTGAGGCAGGCAGATCGACTGAGGTCAGGAGTTGGAGACCAGCCTGGCCAACATGGCAAAACCCCGTCTCTACTAAAAATACAAAAATTAGCCAGGTGTGGTGGCACATGCCTGTAGTCCCAGCTACTAGGGAGAAGAGTAGCTTGAACCCAGGAGGCAGAGGTTGCCGTGGGCTGAGATAGCTCCATTGCACTCCAGCCTGGGCAATGAGAGTGAAACTCCATCTCAAAAAAAAATAAATAAAATAGAACATCTCAACACACTTCAAGCCTCTCTTATACGTCTTTTGAATATCTTTAACATTTTATATTAGTATATCTAAAATGTGTCATCTTGCTTGCATTTATTTAAAATTATAAAAATCATAAAAAATGCATTTATTTTTCTGGATACTACCTTTTTATTCAACTGTATACATTTAAGGTTCATCAATATTAATATTTATAACTGCATATAACTATATCAATGTGGTTTTACTGCTATATATGTTATTTGAGCTTACCAAATTTACTTATATATTTGAAACTGTTGAACCATCTATTCATACCTTTCTAGATGTTCTTTTCTCATCTTTTTTGTATTATTTCAATTTATTTTCTCATGTGCTTACTTTTAAATGTTTTACTTTGTACTGATAAAATTTTATTTACCAAAATTTTTATTATGCATATTTGAATCACTATTTTTATTTACTTTCCACTCTAAGCCTGAAAAATCCAATTCAAATCACCTTAAATTTAATTATTTCACTATGTATTTTTTATAGTTATTATTTTTATTTTACTTTAAGTTCTGGGATACATGTGCAGAATGTGCAGGCTTGTTACATTGTATACATGTGCCACCGTGGTTTGCTGCACCCATCAATATGTCATATATCCACTATGTATCTTTAATATTCTTACTATTGAAGATATTAGTTCTTACAATATCATATTTCTAAATATATTTTGGTAAATGTTTGCTAATACCTATATTAGGATTTATATACTAAATTCATGAAAAAATTAATTTACATATATTTATCTCATAATTTCCATGTCAGCTTTTGGAATTCAGATCAGAAATAGCCCATATAAAACTTCCCTCTTTCCTACTCTTGAGAAGAGTTTATTAAAATTTAGTGTAGTTTCCTTACTTAATATCTGGAGGGAAATAATCACTGTTGATGTCATCTGTGTCTGAAAATTACTCCGTAAAAGGAATTGGAGATTTCTTGAGAGATAAAATTTTATGTTTTCTTTCTCTGTTTGTGAATTTCAAAAATGTTATGTATATTGTTATTTAAATTCAATATTATTTAAATTGTCAATCTTTTTAGACTTGATAATCAATTTTATTTTTACTATCAATATTTTATTTGGTCATATCCTCTATTTTCCACTTTTACTTCTTTTATGCCTTGTTTTGCACTAATCTTTTTTTTTTAATTACATGTTCCCCTTCTATTCACTTGTTAGTTACTTTCTCCTTTAATTCATACTATTCTTCTGATGGAGCATCCTTGATTTATCATGATCTAACACCAATGATTACTTTCATCAATTTTCTGATATTTCTAAAATATTAGAACATTGGAACATATAAACTCTATTTTCCTCTCTGTCATTTTAATTTTACTTATTTTAGTTCTACATATATTTTAAACTCTATAAAACATCATTTTGTATAGTCAAACAATTTTTACATTTATCTGAATGCTTACCACTCCCAATATTCTTCATTTTTTATTCTATTTTTGTCTTACAGGTCTTAGTTACTTCTGCCTGGTTTCCCTATAGGTTTTTCTCCTTACTAATAATGAATTCCCGTGGTTTTGTTTATTTGAAACCTTTTTATTCCAACTCAAATTTGAAAGGTATAGAATTGTACATTAGCAATTATTTCCTTCTTGCATATTGCAAATGCCATTCCATTATGTCCTGAATTTCATCATTTCTTTAGAAAAGTCAGCTTTCATGCTCAGTGTTTTTACTTTTTAGACTTTTGTTTCCCAGTTCTACAAATATCTGGCTGTTCTGAAGATTTTCTTCCATTTTGTCATTGCTTGTCTGCAGGTTTACTACAGTGTTCCCATGTGGGTTCTTCCTTGTGTTTAACCTATGGGACTTTATGAAGCTTCCTAAACATGTAGATTGATATCTTCTATTACTTACAGATAATTCTCATACTTTACCTCTTTATATATTGTTTCTTCATTCTTACTCACATTTTCTTCCTCTCTTTGTTTCTTACCATATGTATGCTAGTCCTTCTGAGCATGTATATCTCTTTATTCTTATTTTTCAATTAATTTAACTATGTGATGCCTTGAAAAGTTTATGTTATAGCCAGTGTCTAATTTCCTGATAAGCCTTCATGTTATTCATTTCATTAGCTGTAATTTTGAATTCTATAATTTTAAGTGCTTTTAAGTTTTAAATATTGAAATTTTTCATCCCTTCTGGTTTTTAATTTTTCAATTGTCTTTAATATATTAATTGCAGTTATTTTAATGTCTCGACCTGCCCTATCTTCTACTTTGATCATCTTCAGGTATGTCATAGTCGTCTCTTCATTTTTTGATTAGCAGTTCATATTTCCTTGCCTCTTTGGCACTTATGGTGCATATGAGCGCATGCACACGTGTGTGTTGCAAAACAGTTGTTTTTATATTTATATTTGTTATTGCCAAATTTATTAATCTTTCTGTTTTTTCCTTATTTAAGAAAGATTTTCTTTTTTTTTTTCTTTTTGAGACAGAGTCTCGCTGTGTCACCCAGGCTGGAGTGCAGTTGTGCAATCTCGGCTCACTGCAACCTCTTCCAGGTTCAAGCAATTCTCCTGTCTCAGCCTCCCGAGTGGCTGGGACTATAGGCACCCACCACCACACCCGGCTAATTTTTGTGCTTTTAGTAGAAATGGGTTTTCACCGTGTTGGTCAGGCTGGTCTCAAACTCCTGACCTCAGGTGATCCACCCACCTCAGCCTCCCAAAGTGCTAAGATTACAGGCGTGAGCCACTGCGCCCAGCCAAAAAGTCTTTTTTTAGTACAATATCACAGAAATAGTTCCTTTCTGTTCCCTGATAGTTTTAAACTTTATGTTTTCACAATTAGACCATTGATTCACCTAGACTTCTGTTTTGTGTAGGGTATAATTCTGTGATCTCATATTAATGTTTTTATTACATTTAAAATACAAACTGTCCTAATACTATTTATTGGCCAATTCAATTTTTTTCATTTATTTTAGTGGAATTTTATATTATACAGAGATATGTGGTTTATTTTCTTAGCTCTCTCTATTCCAAATTTTGTTATTTAAATGCATTCATACATTTGGATTTCTTTATGAACTGTAAAATCACTTTAGAAGTCTGTTTTTCAGAAGATGTTCTCTTTATGTACTTCTCAATACAGAGATTATGTAATTACTTCTGCAGTACCTTGCCAGGTACTGAGCTTGAATCTGGTCCTACTTTGGAATCCTGGCTCTGGACCCTTGGACTATATATTTAGCCCAATTTTAATCCCTGAACACAAATGTGACATAAACTGTGATGTGATTGATTCTGTCTTTGATTGCGACAAGGAGAGGGCTAAACCCACAAAGCTGTTTAGAATTATGAGAATGCTTTTCCAAAAAAGTGGGATTGTTCTCACAACCATCCTCAAAATATGGTCACTTGACATCAAAAATAGATTGACAGACCATATCTGGTCCTTGGTCACAATGCCAGTATCACTATATCCTTCCTTTTTTGTCATTAATAGAGAATTTGCATTATTATGAGTGTTGCTCCATATTAGTGTAATGATGTACATGCTCTATGTGTGATTAATGAACATACTCATACAGAAACATAAAATGGCTGCTCATGTACCTGATCTTCCTTTTGACCAAGATTTCTCTAAATGTGTTTTCACTGTAACAGTGAAATAGAACCAAGTTTCATATACTGATCTCATGATTTCATTTCTTAAAAAAAAAAAAGTAGAAAATAAAGAGAACTTTCAATATTGGAAAAAATATTATTTAAATGTAGTATTAGTAAGAAATTTGTCTCTTAATTGGAAAGTAAACAGAGGTACCAACATTATTTAATAATTTTTCAATAATGAAAAAACTGCCAAGTGCAGTGGCTCATGCCTGTAATTCTAGCACTTTGGGAGGCTGAGGAGGGTGGATCACTTGAGATCAGGAGTTTGAGACCTCCTGGACCATATGGTGAATCCCAAACTTTACTAAAAATACCAAAAATTACCTGGGCATGGTGGCACGTGCCTGTAATTCCAGCTACTCACGAAGCTGAGACAGGAGAATCTCTTAAACCCAGGAGGTGGAGGTGGCAGTGAGCCAAGGTCGCACCATTGAACTCCAGCCTGGGCAACAGAGTGAGACTCCATCAGAAAAAAATAAAAATAACAGAAAGAAAAAAGAAAAACAATAACTGCATCTATATTTACTCTATGTTGTATATTTATTTCTATAATAGATATAATTATTTATATTCAGAGGCATTTCAATTTCTCCTGAAAGAAAATTATAACTGCCTTGTATATAGGTCGAGTATATACTACTTTTTGAACTGAAAAGAACAAAATGACTGTTAAGGAATGTATTAATCTGCACAAAAACCACGTTTATACTGACTGTTTTAATTCCTTAGGCACAGAGCATGGACATGTATTTTAAATGGAGGAAGTCTTGGAAGCAAGGTAAATGTAACTATTTGTAATTCATTTAGTAGTTTAGATTTTATCCTGAATCTTTGTATATGAGATATATTGGCTTATTCTTGTTTCAACCCTGACAATCTTTAAGCTTTTTCATGTTGCATGTACAAATTGAGGATATAACTGGCAGGCAGCCAAGAATATGCAACTATGGTACTGTATCTATTAAAATAGTATCATGAATAGTCAGTTAAAATTATCCTATTCATGTAATCTTTCTCAAAAAAGAACATAAAATGTATGATTACTTCTACTAGAGATGGACCAATATTTTAGTATAAGTAAATGCGAGAATGTAAAAACAAGTCATTAAAATTTGTCAACAATTAAAATGAAAACAAACATTTTTTCCAGAAAAATGTTCAGCTCTATTTTCAATAAAGACTATCTTTGACCAAAAGAAGAAAAGAAAGATAAATAATAGTAATTTAAACTGGTGTTCAGTATAATCCAGATTTGTGGGGCTACCAGGTTTTTTTTTATATTTCACAATCATTTGAAGAAGTTCCATTTCAAAACTATCAATGGTGTTTTTGTAAGTTTCCAAAATAGACAATTCCAGCAAATTCAGTTATAGTCCATGGCAGGATTTCTTATAGATGAGACTGAGGAAACATGTAAAATGCAAAAACATACAGGCCTAAGAACTTCATACATAGAAAAGAGGTGATGGAGGTGAGAAGCCGTGCTGTTCCCAAGCAGAGAGAAGAGCATGGGCCATGCTAAGGATATCTGAATTGGAATGACCTACTGGGGAATCAAAATGGAGAGATATAGATGAAGCAGAAAAAACACTGAGGGAGGAGTGGAAATTGAAGAAATAAATTTAGGTTAGGCACACTGGCAAATGACTTTGTGTGTCATATTAGGCAATGGAGAGATATTGACATCAATTCAATTGGGAGAGTGATTTGAATAGATTTTGCTGTAAAACTAGCATCGCCTTTGTGTGTGTGCAGGGTGTATATATTAGGATGTGAATGGGTATTGGAAACTCAGTTTTAGACATTTCTTAAAAAATTAATTCCTTATCATTACAGTTTCTGTCAATGTCTACACATCCTGTTTCTGTAGCAAGAAGTAGTGCAAATTTTCAATGTAACAATTAAATTTCTTATAAAAAGAAAAAGATTATTTTGTGTATTGATAGTATATTCTCTGAATAAAATAATTTCAACCCATTAATCCTTCTGGATTTTCATAACTTCTCATTGAATAACTTCTCCCTTATTTATTTATGGTTTCTTATACAAATTAGGTATTTTAACACTCAGTTATAATATAGTATGTGGAGATTAAATAGAGCTTTAGAAACAGCATTTACATATCTATATAGTTTTATAATCTCATGTATACCATTACTTTTAAATAGAGACTAAAAGTTTACTCATTGATAATCTATTGGTAAGAGCCAATCAATGAATGTTCCCGAAGTCGTAATAGGTTTAAACAAAATTGAAAATCATTATTATAGTAAGTGTGAAATATTATTTCTTTATATTTTGGATGATTTACATTGAATTGTGCCCTAGCACAAACCTACTACTTAAGTAGTGTGCTGATATTGTTAAAATATATTTTCTACAGTATTCTCACTTATTCTACTTATCATCCAGATGTAAGGGAATAAATTTATAAGAAAATGGAGGTCTTCAATCACTCTGCAGAGGGGTTATATTCCCTTGAAAGAAAAAAAAATCAAGTTAAATCTAGTAATTGTTTTAAAATGCTTTAATATTTTATTTTTCTCAAGAAATTTATAGTATACTTTTATTATAAATGCACACCATGACTTATTAACTTTCCAGAAATGCATTCTTTCATTCAAAGTCACATCCAAATAGCAGCTCTTCAGAGTACAAATGGGAAATCTTACTCATCTTGGTCATGCCCCTTGGTGCTATTCCCTAAATGGAATTTGAAATGACTGTTCAAGAAATCTAGTGTAGCTAGAGGAATAAAAATGAATAAATAGCTAAATCATAATGTACAGAATAAAAGGGTTTCACTAGGATTGTGGTCATCTGTGGGAAGAGATAAATTATATTTAAACATTGCCAACAGTATTTCACAAATACCTGCCTCTAACAATTGCTACAAATGAACCCAAATGGTTTTATGTGAATGTGTAAGTGAACAAAACCGCTCTTGTTTCAATGAGGTAAATGAACAAAGGCACTCAATTAGAATGTTCTCATTGCTAGCACCAGCAGCTTAAAGGTGTCCAGTTTGGCCTTATCATAAAAGGCAGTCAGGTTCCTGCAGTGCAGCATATCAAGACAAATGGTCTCACCTACATTTCTGTAAAACATCACCTTTCTAATCTGTACAGATATGTAGGTGAAGGGCTTGATAACTAACAATCCAATTATTCAGTATTGTAGGAACTCTTTAGCTATAACCTTTATGTTTTTCCATTCCTATAAGCTCCCTGTGAAAGGTGACGTATATGTTCAGAAGACATATAGAAAACTGACAACTGATTTAGGTTCTATATAGTGCACTGAACCACTTTCATTCCATATAAATGAGTTATTCTTAGAGCATCCTTATTTTAAAAAGTAAATATCTTTTAATATTTTATGACATTGAAATTATTTAATATGTTTTCCTTAGAACAAGACAGGTTCTTGTTGATATAGATAAACACCATGAGTACTTAATTCTCATTTTCTGGACATAAGCTGTCTATAAAACTCAGTGTGTGTGTAATCAGTAAATTATGAAAGAGTGAATAAAATTCAATGATTCATATTTGGAATACAATTGCCAATTATTTTTAGGAAAATAATTTTTCTATCACCCAGACCTAGATTCTGGAATCCAAGTTGCCCAGAAATGTCTCTTAGTTCTATTGTTCTCTAAACAACTATGTGTAAGAGTCACACTGAGAGCTTATTAAAATGTTTTCTCTGTCCTGTCCCCAAATAATCTGTCAGTAGTTGTATACTTGGGTATAGGTATGTAGATTTTTTGTAAGGCACCTCAGGTGACTCAGACCACCTGAGATCTGCAGACTTTGAGAATTACTCTTCTAGATGCTGTCAGCCAGATACTTACTTGGATAGAGTTTCAGGAAAGAAAATTGTCATGTCTATGTCTTCTAATGACATGAAATGTCGCCTGAATATAAAATCAAATGTCAAAATGATCAAAATAATTGTTAAACAGTGGCCCTTCTCTTCCTCATTCATTTACTCTGGGAAGCTGTTTTCTCTTGGACCTCATGGTCCTCAAATGCAGTTGACATTAGATAACAAGGCAGAAACTGCTCATCACTTCCAGTATCCATCATACCTTTCTTTCTTAGCAAAGTAACCCAGGATTTTACCTTGGTCTTGGATACCCAAAATAAATATCATATTTCCTTACTTCCTTGGAAATGGTGAAGTCTTGTGACTAAGCATTGTCCAAATGACCGTGAGGAGGTATGATATTGCAACTCTAAAACATCCTGTAAAAAGTGGTCACAATCCTTTTTCCTTCCTTTCTGCTTTCTGATAGATGGAGTAAGTATGATGGCTGGAATTGAGTGTCTTAGTCTTTGAGTATAAGCTACATGTAGAGGATGCACCAGGTTTCTTGAAGAGAGATTCTGATTGTTTTCCCTTTTTCATGGCTTTTATTTTCAAAGGTAAGTTCACATCATGAAACATAGCCTCTTAATAAATATTTGTTGAAAAAAGAAATAAATCTTTTTCAGATCAGATTTCAATTAAATATTACTTTTTGGATTTCAAAATTAAATTATTCCTTGACTTTTGTACTTTTCACTGAAAGAAGGACAATAAATTGCCACGTCTAGAATGCTTTTGGAAATAAAATAAACCCCTTAGTGAATTTTTTTTGCTGATTATGACTGTCACCTACTGTTATTAGACTGAAATTGTGAAGATAATTATAGGGTACTTTTCTGGCATGTTAACTGGCAATTCTGTCATAGGTAGGTGTTGTTGTTTGGGAAGAAGCTTACAATTATTAAAATGGGAATTTTAGCTGCGGCTTCACTCCAGTAAATACGTAATTCATATCTATATTCAAGCCAAAGAAAAGGAGGGTGGGAGAAATCCATTTAGTATTATAGTGTGCCATTAATAATTTACTTAGCAGATAAAATTAAAATGGGTATTTCATCTGTGGAAATTAAAATTCTTACCTCTGAGAAGGCTCTATTTTCCCAGCTGTTAAACACAGGAATGTTTTTCAAATTCTGACAGCAAATTTAATCAGACAAAAATAATGTGGTTTGATATTTACCTATCTCTTAACTACTTGAGAGGTGACAGCGTGCGGCAGCCCTCGCAGCCCTTGCTCGCTCTCAGTGCCTCCTCGGCCTCAGCGCCCACTCTGGCCGCGCTTGAGGAGCCCTTCAGCCCGCCGCTGCACTGTGGGAACCCCTTCCTGGGATGGCGGAGGCCCGAGCCGGCTCCCTCAGCCTGTGGGGAGGTGTGGAGGGAGAGGCACAGGCGGGAACCCGGGCTGCGCACTGTGCTTGCGGGCCAGCTAGAGTTCCGGGTGGGCGCGGGCTTGGCGCCCCAGACTCGGAGCAGCTGGCCGGCCCCGCCAGCCCCCGGCAGTAAGGGGCTTAGCACCCGAGCCAGCAGCTGCAGAGGGTGCGCCGCGTCCCCCAGCAGTGCCGGCCCACTGGCGCTGCGCTCGATTTCTCCTCAGGCCTTAGCTGCCTCCCCCCAACAGCCCCCCCGCCCCGCCCGCCGAGGGTTCCTGCGCGGCCCGAGCCTCCCAGATGAGCGCCGCCGCCTGCTCCACTGCGCCCAGTCCCATCCACCGCCCAAGGGCTGAAGAGTGCGGTGGCACGGGGCGGGACTGGCAGGCAGCTCCACCTGCGGCCCCAGTGGACGATCCAGTGGGTGAAGCCAGCTAGGCTCCTGAGTCTGGTGGGGACTTGGAGAATCTTTATGTCTAGCTAAGGGACTGTAAACACACCAATCAGCTCTCTGTGTCTAGCTCAGGGTTTGTAAATGCACCAATCTGCACTCTGTATCTAGTTAATCTGGTGGGGACTTGGAGACTCTTTATGTCTAGCTAAGGGATTGTGAATGCACCAATCCGCACTCTGTATCTAGCTCAAGGTTTGTAAATGCGCCAATCAGCACTCTGTGTCTAGCTCAGGGTTTGTAAATACACCAATCGACACTCTGTATCTAGTTAATCTAGTGGGGACTTGGAGAACTTTTGTGTCCAGCTCAGGGATTGTAAACGCACCAATCAGCACCCTGTCAAAACGCACCAATCAGCTCTTTGTAAAACAGACCAATTGGTGCTCTGTAAAATGGACCAATCAGCAGGATGTGGGTGGGGCCAGATAAGAGAATAAAAGCAGGCTGCCAGAGCTGTCAGTGGCAACCTGCTGGGCTCCCCTTCTATGCTGTGGGTGCTTTGTTCTTTTGCTTTTTGCATTAAATATTGCTGCTGTTCACTCTTTGGGGCCACACTGCTTTTATGAGCTGTAACATTGACTGCAAAGGTCTACAGCTTCATTCCTGAAGCCAGCGAGACCACAAACCTACCAGGAGGAGTGAACAACTTCAGATGCCTTGCATTAAGAGCTGTAACACTCACTGCGAAGGTTTGCAGCTTCACTGCTGAGCCAGCGAGACCACGAACCCACCAGAAGGAGGAAAATCCGAACACATCCAAACATCAGAAGGAACAAACGGCGGACTGTAACACTCACCGAAAGGGTCCGCAGCTTCATTCTTGAAGTCAGTGAGATCAAGAACTCACCAATTCTGAACACATACTTATTCACATGTCATCGTTTTCTATACAATGTAAAAACTACTGGTTATTCATATCCAATAGTGGAGATTCTAGAAATCTTTATAATATAGTATAATATGCAAAAATATAGTTAATATAGTTTGCAGTGTTTTAGAAAAGGAGAAATGAAAACATAAAAAGTTTTCAATCTCCTTTTCTCTCACTTTTTGCCTTACCTGAATGAATTTTTCTTCCTGGAATTTTCTTGCTAATTAAGTTTGTGATTTCTTAGAATTGTGTTTACAAAAGTATAAGCTGTCATAAGTCATGCTATGAAAAAGATAGTGGATTATTCTATTTATGTTATATTTATATGAAATAAAATATTAAAGATAAGGCAGGCTAAGTTCATTACACAAAATTGATTTTGCTTAAGAATGATGACACATACAAATTATTGATAACTACTTCACAAATTATTTTTCTAAGAAATTGACTATTGCTGTTTTTTCCCTCCTCTCACAATTTCATGCACTTGAGACCATTTGTAACACCTTTCTTACAACGCTTTCTTCTTTGGCACCACATTACTCTGGTTCTGTACACCCTCCTTGACTGTTCCTCCTGCGTCTTAATTACGGGAGGCTCATCTCCTCAATGTCTGATCTCCTGAACCACCTCCTTTATTTTTTTGTCTTTAAGAATAATTTACATACTGAAACCATAAATGTAACATCTCTCTCAAATTTTAGTATGAGTTTTCTTTTGTCTTGTTCTTTTGCACCAGAATGGAAGTTAGAATTTTAAACATATGCAAACATGCAATGATTTTTCTTTCCCCTTCCGACCTTCTAAATCAGCTTCTCTCATACTGGCAATTTATTTTTATTCCACTCCTTTTTAAAAAGTGTTTTGATATAAACATTTCATAACCATTTATTTGCCCTTACTTCTGCCATTGTTTAATTTTATCAGTTCTATTTAAACTTAAATTCAAAATTTTCAACTTCAAATAAAGTTAGAAATAAGTTGTGTTCCCTCCTTTCTTTCATATTGTATATTCAATTATTCCAGAAAACTTGTATTTTTATTTGAAGACTGCAATTTCTAATATTATATTATTTACTTCTGTCATGCATAAATTATTACAATTAGCTTTAAATTAAACGTTAAATAAGTTAGGCCAAATTTTCAAAGTTGTCTAAATTTACCTCTGTAATTTACTTGAAAGATGCTAAGTAAACTATTTGAAAATAAATCAGTTGAAAAATAGAGAGAAAATATAATCTATACATTTGTAGTTAGGCTAGATCATGTATTCCTTGTATTATGAAGGTTATGACTTTGAGCACCAGGGCAATTTACCAATGAATAAGCATGAAATATCACATTTATAAAATGAAATGCACCCAAAACATAGTAAGTCTATTTTGTGATATCATTCTAAGTTGTAGAATACAGTATATTCTTGTTTAACCCAGTTAGTTCATTATAATCTCTCTGAGAATATAATATTCTGATGTATGAGTCACACTTTTAGAAATTTTCATTTAATATGTCTAGAATATGAACTGGGAAGCATCACTTTTGAAAAGGTCCCCAAAATAATTCTAGTTGCATGACCCCCCTCCCTGACCTTTCATCTCTATTCTAAAATAACATATTGAATTCTAACTTTCTAAAACTCTCTTCTTTGTATTTCACATTTCATATGCTATTATTTTCTATAGCATGTTGGATAATTAGACTTCTCAAAAATGAAAGAAAGGTATCAAATGAAAAATTTTAAAAATGTCCTCTTAAAATGAAAGATAGCCTACAGCCTACATTTAAATGTTAAATTTTGGTAGTCTCCACTGTGAGAATAATACATTATTTTAGAAATATTTATTTCTTCAAAATAAAGTAGGTTATGTTTGTTGGAAATATTTCTATTCAATATTTGATGAGACAATTTATATGTTACATAGAACATCTATTGGCTAACGTACATTTGTCCTTCAAAAACGTTATTGAAATAATCATCTTATTCTAATTTTCATACCTGGTTGTGATAGCATGAACTATTAGTTTCACTATTTTCACTAAATTGATATTCTAGCAATTCGTCATTTCGTTTGAAAATATAAGAACTAGAAATATGTTTCATCATAAACATATTGATAATAAAAGAAGAAAGGCATGGTGTAGGTTGACTCTATTTCCCTGACATTTTGCACAGCATAGGTATAAACTCAAAATATGCTATCAGTAATTGTGCCATATCTGTGTACTTAGGTCACTATTAGTATAACAGTGCATCTGCTGAGAAATGAGGCTCTACAAGACAGAAGTGGATACTGTTGCTGTTTTCTTCAATTTTCTTGCTTTAGGCAGTGGAGTCTTGACACTGCAATCAGTTAACCTGGTCCAGCAGAATATGTTACAATGTCTTTAGAGGACTCCTTTAAATTAGCACTTTATAAAAATATTGAAATGATTTTCTTCTAAACTGATACATATTGCTTGTATGACAGTGTATGCATGCACACATCTGTGTGTGTGTGTGTGTGTGTGTGTGTGTGTGTGTGTGTAATGTAGCCTTTGATTTATGCAGATTAAGTACTGTTCCAGTCCAGTCTGAATCTTTCCCTCTGAATTCCATGCTACTTTTACCTTATTTACCTGCTTTTGGCTTCAATAATAGATGCTTTTTATTTTTGGCCAACAAATTAGACCAATTGATGGTGTTCTCGCATTTTCCAACTTTAGTCCCTGGATGACTGCTTTGTCTCATGATACCAAGGCTCTGATTACGTTGTGGTGTGAAGAACTACTTTAAATCCAAGTAGAGAAGAAATTTTCCAAGGGCTTACTTACAATGGCATCCTTGATATTTCCTGTGAAATATCACTAAAAAGACCCCTGCAGCAATGCATCATATGATAAGATTTGGCTAATGTGCAATGATCTATAATCTAAATGTTTTAAATATTTGTACAGTAATGGGTAAATTTATATTAATTTTTTAGTTTTCACAGTGTCTAAAAGACCTTTAGCTGGTATCAATAATTATTCCAGTTAGTATATGTGGTGCTCAAGCCAGCTCAGTATTACATTTAGGAATGGAATTTTTCTTATTGTGATATGTATGCATGTATGAAAATAGAAAAAAAGATATTGTGAGTCCTTAATATTAGAATGATATAATTTTATTTTAAACTAAACTTTTTGATAAACTATAACTTTACCTAATATATATCCTGAATCTGCTTTTATGTTAATAAGACAATTGAAATAAAAATAAATATTGAAATTGTTTAAAGCATGTTATAATAGTAGTGTCTTATTTACTAAATACATAGTTCAATCCTCAATAAAACAATATTACATCACTAATTTATATCTGTCTATTATAAACTAAATATTGGTAATCACAACCCATGTTTTCTTAGGTTCAAAATATGTAATATTAGATTATAAACAATTTTTTACTTTAATGTCAACAAAAATTACCCGACTTAAGCCAAACTAAAGAAAATAAATGAATCATATTTAATGCTTAATTTACTAACTTATACCATCTGATCATGAATTTTGATACCTGTAGATGAGTCATTCTTAAGAAGTCACATTTTAGTCATTTTAATTGAGGTATAATTTATATAATTTGTATGGCATAAACTTAGCTTGTTCTATTTATATAATGTTCTATTTATATAACTCAATAACTTTTAGTAAATTTACAGTGTCATATAGCCATTACCACACTCCAGTTTTAAACATTTTCATCATTTAAAAAGATCCTTTGTGCTCATCTGCAGGTTTTTCTTGTTCCCACATCTCTGCTACAGGCACCTACTTACCTGGTTTTTGTATCTAGAGAACTGCCTTTTATTATAAATGGTATTATACAATATGTGGTGTTTCCTATCAATCAGGCTTCTTTCACAAACATAATGTTTTTTTTAAGTTCATTCATATTGTAAAATGTGCTTTGTTTCTTTTTACCACTGAATAGTATTTCATTATCTGGATACACCACATTTTTTTATCTGTATGCCAATAGGTGGATATTTGTGTTATTTCCAGTTTTTGATTTATGAATAATGCTGCTATAAACATTCCCATAAAATATTTTCATAAACATATGATTTTATTTCTTTTAAATGGATCTTTAAGGTAAAATTGCTTAATTTTATGGGACATTTATGCTTATCATTTTAAGAAACTGTCAAACTCTTTTACAAATTGGCTGTATCATTTTACATTTCCACTTGCAATGTATGAAGTTTTCAGGACTATGCTGCTGGAGAAATGACATGGAGTACAATTTAAGTTTCCCAGTCAACTGAACCAGTTAACTGCCGGACATGTGAATGAGGTTATCTTAGCCCTTCCACCTAATGGACTGGTGGGGGCACCAGTCCATTCATCGAATGACTGCAGCTGCAAGCAGGATGAGCAAAAAAACTTCCAAGCTGAGCACAGTCCAAATTAGAAAATCATGAGTAAATAAACGCATACAAATCTGGTTTTAAATAGCGTTACGTCACATAACACCTTCCTTGTTACTAACTGCATGACAGATTTGTTTTATTATGAATGGCAAGTTCTACTCCTAAATAATACTTCTGCTTTTGGACTATCTGCGTTTTTGCTTGACATTTTGGTAACCACCACTACTGCTAACTTAAATAATAGGGACATGGAAAGGAGCCCATTTTGTCAGCAGTATCTTTGTTGGCTTTGTCAGTGGAAGTCACTAGTGCAGTATCTGAGGGCTGGAGAGGTCAACGTCATTCTAAATCCTTCAGTGGCTACAGTGTTGGACTGTAGAGTGTCTTGGCCCACTCCTGTGGTGACAGCAAGAAAGAATATGATGCTCTTGCAGCAGCCAGAGCATCTTAGATGCAGAAGGCTAGGGCCTCTTGTCACAGTTGCAAGGCCTTCTTTCCTATATTTTCTGGTGTTTGGGGAAGGCCATCCCCGACACCTTTTTACACCTCTACCTTTTCTGATGATTCTGTCATCCAACTCATTGCATGAAATTTTTTGTGTGAAATGTCAAGAATGGATTGTAGGGTTTTCCTGACCAATTCCTGACCATTAAATGCCCCCTGAGAAGCCCATTCAAAGAAGCTGCTCTATCAAACGCCAAAGGTAGGGAATGAATTTATAGATACTTGTTTCCAAATATATGTTTTAGAAAATTTGTACAGAGTTACAGTCTAGTAAGCTTGTTTCCATTGAGGAAGAATGCACCTGGGAACCAGGTTAGATAATGTTGAAAGAAGAAACGACCTCTTGGCTTCAACCCCCATCCAGTTATCCCACCTGCAGAAGAACATGAGTTCTTTTTCTTTTAAACTGAAATAATAACAGAGTGTTATGGTGGGGGCAAAACAAACAGTTATGCATTCTTTCAGGTCTCAAATTATCTCCTACGTTGAGAACTTTGAGCATTAAATGCTCATCTTCCCCCTTGCCTGTTTTACTTCTTCACTCAAAACTTAATCACCACTTCATCAGAAAAGTCCTCCTTCCTTGGCCTCCCTGATTAGTTGGGTGTCTCCACTGAAACATTTTACAGAAACAAGTAAATGTACAGAAGTAATGAAAAGTTACTTTTCATTACTGAAAAGTAACTTTACAGTTACACGTGTGATTATTGGAATCAAAGCTGTCTCCACAACTTACCTGTCAGTTCCATGAATACAGGGCTATTAACTTGATCTTTTTTATTGTTGCTATTATTCTCACCATTAAACCTCCTAGCTCTAGCCTTAGTTAATTTGTGATTTGAATCTTAGGTTTATTTATTTTTTCACTCTTTCCACCTTGGGAAGTTATTTTATCTCTGTACTTTAGTATCCTCCTTCACCTAATATCTGCATTACTTTAAGCAATATATGTAATTTTACTAAGCCTTAATTTACTATTTTATTAGCGATGTAACATTGGGTTAAATTAAAACCTTTCTATGTGTCATTGTATTCAGAGTAGGATAATAGTGTTATTTGGAGGATACCTAAGACACCTGCAGTGTTCAACATTTAAATGAGGCTACTTGAAAAAATTGAGGTAATACCCTAACACGGTTCCCATAGTAATTAAATTTTATGTGATATAGTCTGTGTAATTCATATTACATATAGGAGATGAAGAAGTCAAGAAAGTTATTATAATTTGCGTTGTTACATATGGGGAGCGATCTTCATTGTTAAGCAGAAGCTTATTGATTGAAGAGGATATCAGACAGAAAATCTTCTTTTCTGGTTTTGCCACTAACCATCACTTATTACATAACTGTTTGAGCCCATAGCAGTCCATTAATTAACACTATATCCTTAGTAAATATAACATATCTCAGATTCTGTTTCTTCATTAATGAAATGAAACATAACAATACTTATTCTATTAGATAGTTATGAAATTTAAATGAGGTAATTCACATTCAGCTCTTAGGATAATTTTTGTAACAATGTAGATACTCAGTATATATTACTTGATATTGGTGCTGGTGTTCACTTCACTGTAATATGCCTTATTTTACAGCCTTTTGAGGTCTTACTTGATCTATTTAACCATATTCTCCATACCACTAGTATAACTGCTTTTCCCTAAAAGGTGATTTCTTCATTGCCCTCTTAACATGTCATCCAATTTCCATGTTAGAAAGTTTGCCCCAACCTATACCTTCACTTAGTCTGACTCTCTCTCTTCCCAGTTTTTCTATCCTTCGACAGCCAGCTCGATGCTATTCTACTGAAATGAGCTTATCTTACGATTTCAACTAATTTTCATGAGAATCTTATACTCAGAGAACATGAGATAACACTTACTTGCCTTTGGATTTTAAAAGTAAATATACACATATGGTCCATATAAGATGGTGAGCAAATTGCATTAACCTGAGTAGAGAAATTTTGCCATGACATTTTTTTCCACGTCACATGCGTGGTTGTCTTTGTGATTTTTTGTTTTCTTTTGTTTTTCTTTTTTGAGACAGTCTTGCTCTGTCGCCCAGGCTGGAGTGCAGCGGCGCAATCTCGGCTTACCGCAAGCTCCACCTCCCAGGTTCATGCCATTCTCCTGCCCCAGCCTCCTGAGTAGCTGGGACTACAGGCGCCCGCCACCACGCCCGGTTAATTTTTTTTTTTTTTTTTTTTTTTGTATTTTTAGTACAGGCGGGGTTTCACCGTGTTAGCCAGGATGGTCTCGATCTCCTGACGTCGTGATCCTCCTGCCTCGGCCTCCCAAAGTGCTGGATTACAGGCGTGAGCCACCATGCCTGGCTTGTCTTTGTGATTTTTTCAGTAAAATAAAAATACAAATTTGTGACAATTTTAAACGTCATTCTTATCTTCCAAATATTAACTTCTGACTAGGACATAAAATATTTATATTTGGGCATCCTTCTGCATCCAGCCAGTAGAGGTTTCTTCATGAATGTGCCTGGAGCAATGCTCTATGAGGCTGATTGGGAAAACTGAGAATTAGAGGAAACTCAGTGAAATTGCAATGTCCAGTTTAAGTACAATTTAACATAGAGTTTGCTTTGGGACACAGATATAATTTTTTAAAATACCACTTTCAACCTGATTTTCCTAGGCTGATTTGGTTCCCTTATCAATTTTTGAAGTCTGGAGAAGCATAAAATAGTGAAATCTCCTTTATCAAGTAAAGAACAGAATGAAAAGTGGAATTCCATTGCTATGCTTTAAATAGAGTATCTCTTGTTATAATAATGAGATATTTTTGAAGAAGAGTACTCAGCGATGTGAGCTGCAAACTCATCTGTTTGATTTGCAAATACCATTCTTTTTAATGGGAAAGATTTGAACAAGGTAATTTAAAGCAACAAGAGCACTTTAGATATTTTCATCTAAATTTAAATTTAAATGAAAATTCAGCAGTCATTTCAAACCATAGTTTTTCATTGTTATTAATGTATTTTGTCAACAGTGTATTATAGATTAACTCAGTGGTGCTTTTTAAAAATAATATTGTTAAGTAAAGCATCTATTTTATTTCTTCTTCTTCTGATTACATAATGCAAGCCACTTTTGAAAGCTTAACAGAAAATTACAGAAGAGTGTCCAGGCCAAGATAGGGTGAACTAATTCAATTACAATAAAAAAGGGATTTAAACTCAGGCTACAACAGTTCTTGCTTTTATTGACTATTTTTCAAACCTTATGAAGATTAGAATCAAATCACTTTTATGCAGGGTTATAGACAGAGCTAATAATATCATGACAACTAGTCAAATCAACAGTGGCCATATGAATTGGAATATTAACAAATATAATTAAAATTTTAAGCGCCAAGTCTCTGAGAGTGAACACTCACAAAATCCAATAGTTCCATAAAAGGAAAATATGTAGCAAATCACATCATTTATGTGTGTGTGTGTGTATACGTCAAGGTTTAATATAGCCCAAAAACCAACTGAAGATAACTGCTACTGTTCAACCAAAGCCAGGTTGAGTTTAATAATTTAAAAATTTTAAGAAAAAACAGTAAAGATGCTTAACATTTTTTAAAAGCATACTTCCGATTATGTCACCATTTTGTTCAAAACCTTTAAGTTCCTATTACTAACATAATAAAAATTAAACACCGTTGTATAAATAATATGTTGTAAAGTAGTTCTATTTATCTGGTTTGGGTGGACGAAAACCATGTGTAGCACTTGAAAATGCTTGCACGGAGGTGAGATTGACCTCTCAATCATTATTAAGTTTTATTTAAGCTGCATTATTTGGCTGGCTCAGTTACTTCCAGGGAAAAGCAGTAGAGAATACATTGAGAGGCTTGGTTTGTGTCTCCTGGAATTTGTAGGAATAATAATAAAAAAAGAAACCCTGTCTGAATTTCCAGTAAAAAATCCAAAGGCAACACAATGACTTCAGGTGTTCTGATGGCTGAATGAAGACAGATGGCTATGGAGGAGCAAGTTGTACTCACATAGATGATGGGGAAAGGTGTTTGAGTCTGTTGGCCATGTGTGAACTGTGCAGAAGGAAGCAGGACCTGAGTCCTCTTGAAAAGATCTGTGGTCAAGAGGCCAGACTAGAGGGTTGAAGTTTCTCCAGCAGAGAGACTCAGCATGGAGTGGACCACAGAAATCAGAGTTTGGAAAGGGGAGCTGTGAGTAGCCAGTAAGTGGAGGCATCACCCCAAACTGGAACTTTTATTGTCTGATGTAAGCTAGAACTTCTGCTTTACTTTCATTTAGTATATTTCAAGTTATTTCACTTTCAGTGAAAGTGAAATATGAGTGAAGCCCTTACAGAATACTCAACAATGAAATAATTGAACATAAATGAAATAATTCAACATCCTCAACTATATAAGACCTGCCAACCTTTACTACACTACCTGTCTATCCTCTCATTTTCAAAATCACGGGGGAGTAAAAGAAAGCACACAAATGAGGGGTAGGAGAGGAAAACAAGAACAAGAAGAAAGTGTAAAATGAATTCCAAAACCAACTAATAAACAAACAAAACCTGATCATATCTACCAGTCTCCTACCTTTCTCACTACAGGATTTTGAGATTATGAAAGTAAAGCAGAAGTTCTAGCTTACATCAGACAATAAAAGTTTGTTTAGATTAAACCATGTATTGTTTTGTTGTTTTTTTTTTTTAAAAAAAAAAAACCTGGGAAAATAAAACTAATGAGATGTGAAAGTAAATGAAAATGCTTTGGGATTTATTTGATATGTCTTCAGGACAGGAGTGTTAAAAAATGGTGCTTAAAAAATGCAATTGCTTCTTGCTTTAAATCCCACAAGTCTAGTTGTTCATTAAAAAATATGGCTACAAGTTTTTGCTTTCTACATTCTGAGCCCCAAATATATATATATGCCTCTTTCATATAGTTCAGTAAACTTACTCCCAAACTATGCATACATCTTCTGTTAGAATGCCATGCTACAGAAAGATTCTTTGATGAGTGCTTAGTCCATAGTAGACCCTTAATAAAAACCAGTTTTATTGCTATGTATTTTAATTATGCCACCCATAGAGTATATATATGTGTGCATGTATGTACCTATGCATTTAATAAATGTTGAAGAACTGAGTCAATTTAATTAATAACATGGCATGTGCTCATGACTACATGAGCACAGGGATTATGCAGAATAAATTAGCATAGTTCTTTCCTTGGAGTATGTAATACCAGCTATGTGTGTATGTACACATGATATTATATAAATGTATACACATACACACCTGTATATATTTACATGCATATGTATACACATAAAAACATATACATATATATGTTATATGTGTGTGTGTTTCTGTGTGTATACAGTCTCTCAACTTTCTATTTGATTTCATTCATCTGTTTATCTAAACATAGAATCTCCTAATTACTGCAGTTTATAATGTCTTGACATCTATAGCGTCCCCTTTTCCAGAAATCTTTGACTAGCTGTGGTCCTTTATCCCCAGAGGCATCTTAGAAACAGTTGGGCCACCACACTAGTAATTGTGCAATCAGTTATTTCCCTAAGGAGCCTGGATTCCTTTTATTGGAGTATAGATATAGAAACCAAGTAAAGATATGTTTATTGCTAAGGGGGTGTCATTACATCTAGCTTCTCAGTGTACAGAGCTAGGAAATACAGAAAATATGTATGTGTGGTAAAATATGTATGTGCATCCATATCTATTTTCATATTAATCTGTACATTGACTAAAACTTATGTGCTCTTACTGATACTTCTGATTCCCATCTAACGCCACAGGGGTCCCTCAAGCCTTCTCTCCTTTCTCGTCTGTTTCTCTGACAATGAGAAACTGGCTTTCATTATCTACTATGTATTTACTGATTTACTCAGTCTGGAATACCAATACAGCAACATCAGATTGCTAAAACTCTAAGACAAATATACTAAATGGAGTGCAAAATCGGTGGACTTTTTAAATTTTAGTGTATTTTATTTATAATATATGTTCAATATTTTCTTACAGCCCCCTTTCCTTAACTGAAGAGTGGCTTTCTACCGATATTCTTTTGCACAAAATGTTCTTTCTAAGCACATCCCTGAATAATAGGAAATCGAATGCAACAGAATAAGTCTAGAAGCTTTAAACTAACATGGAATTTGTAAATCTTAAACCTGGACATTAAAGACTTAAGGTTAAGTATAAAATCTAGAGTCGTAACAAATCCTATCAGTCGGTATAGCAGAGAATTACTTGATTAACCATGGGAAATCACAAATGTTCTATTATTTTCAGGACAGAGATGATATTTTATAGGCAGCAAATAAGCAGAATGCTGTTTGAAAATGCACATCTAGCATTAACATATAAATTATTTTAAATGTTTAACAGGGGGTAAATGTTTAACGGGATAAATGTTTAACAGTTTAACAGGGGATGTTTAATAGAGCTTAATACACCTATTGAATTTGTTGATAGGGATAACAATCACTGCTCTGTGGTACTTGCATAAGACTACACAATTCACGTTAAATTATTGTGAGGACTTATTTTTTCCAGGAAAAAATGAAACCTGAAAAGTAATACACATTGGTACGTAGAAGCCAAATCAACCAAGAATTAGCAAATATTTTCGTGCATTTTGCACAAGTACTTACATCTGCTAAAATTCTCTTTTCTCACTTTTACTCATAACCACCCAGGCCCTATGCTGATATGCCAATGTTTTTATATAAATAAATAAATGCAGAAATGAGGGAAGAAAAAGGAGCATCTCATTTCTCTCTGGAAAAAAATAAACAACTTAGTAAAATGTCATTTCTAGTGACCTTACTCTTAGGTTTCCTGAAGTTGACTAAAGTCTAATAGCAACAACATACACAGTGAATCTCCACAGCAAATGGAGGTGTTTTCTTTCCTAAAATAACAGTGTCTCTAGAGGCCATTCTTATCCTCTTACAAGTTATTTCTTCATGTTTTTACCCCAAGCACTCCATTTACTAAAAAGTAAATCCACATTATACACACTACATAGTTTAATCCCAAATTGGATCTACCTTATCATTGAAGTAACATGAATATATTTAGTTTTTCACCTGATATGAAAAGGTGTCAGTTCAATTCTTCCTCTCTGATTTCTGTCTTTGACTAGGGCATTATTACAAATTGCCCTGAGGCATATCTTTCCTTTTAATACCATGTCTCAAATGCAAACTTTCAGCAGGTGGTTATTGTTCAACATTATGTAACCAAAAATAAATGCCACCTAGTTATTAAACTGTCAGAACATTAAAAGTGAGTAAATCATAACAAAGTTTATAGTGTATAAAGCCATAGCCACAGTCAATTTTCTTCAGAGAGGCCCAGAATATACACAGAGAACTAAAGGACAAAACCTGAGAGAAAAAAAAAAATGTATTGTCTTCGGATATTTGAACTAATGTTGTGAAGGGTAAGCATATCCCTGCCTCCACAAAACTGGTAGCTATACAGAATTTTTCTTGTGCTGACCGGCTTTTGATTACTTGATATGTGAGTCAGATAAGGAAATATTTCTAACTATTAAAATTTATTTTTTTGATGAGTAGGCTCTCTAATAACAGGCAACCACAATCCAATATGTAATTTTAATTTGAAGTCATCCCAGATATACACTTGTAAATGTTTTATTTTAATAACCTTACATAAGTTTCAATCACAAGTAAAGCATATAGTGTTTTATTTATGAAATAGTACAATGTTAGTTTATTCCCCCCGACCACATTATTGACCCATGTCATCCTTAGCTGCAGAATAAATTATTTTCTAGATTGTGTATAAGTATACACTTTCATTACAATTCCACTTGTGACAAAGATAACAGAAATATTTGTATATTAATTCAAACTGGATTTTGTTGAGTTAATGTAATGCACTATTGAGCTTTCATTGCAAATCAAAGAAACATAGGAATGGAGCCCATGAAAGAAAAAAAAAAGATGTTTTGTATAATATGTTTATAATATCCTTAAAGATGTTCATAAAATCATGAAGTAAGGTTGCAAATTTCAGGGCTGTTAAAGCAAAAGTAGCATGGCATTGAGTAGCCTAAGTGTCTTTCCTTCCACAAAATAAATAGGGATTTGTATAAAACTCTGCATATCCATGGAAAACATCTTGCCATGACTTGGAGCTTCATTTATTTTGGACTCAATAAGGCCAATGGAGATTGTCAACAAGTGCTGAAGTAATATATTTCTACTCCATCTGACTATTTAAGAAGACAACAAAGTTGGGCATTTCCAGTTGAAACAATTAACCACCAATAATCTGAGCTAACTTCTATAATAGGTTCTAGTGCTTATTTCTGCCTAACCATAACTGTTGGTGGATCCCCAACTCCTATCAACTTCCTATCCGAAGCAATCAACTTCAGAGGTGATAATATTCATTACCAACAAGTCTTGCTGATATGTTAACTGTCCATACTTTTCTTAGTATAGAATGATTTGATTGGTGATAATTGTCATCCTCTTATCTTGCAAATTTATCTTAATAATGAATGGGACAATATTTGGCAGCTTTCTGTTTCTCAATTGACTTCCAGACACAAAAGTAGGCTATAGAAAGTGTCAATCCATATATGTAACTATTCCATTTGCTGCCAAAAAAATAGTAATTGTATTAAGCTATATTTTAAACCATAAAATTTCAGATTTATTAGAATGGTACAAAAATAATTGTGGTTTTTGCCATTTAAAGTAATGGCAATTACTTTTGCACCAACCTAATAATATCATTTCCTAGTGAAAATTAAATTCACTCCATTCTTTTGCTTATGATCGTGAAGGAACCTATGATCTGCATATGTTAGAATGAATGGGAAAACACAAGCTTTTTATATTTCCTTATCCTGATCTCACTTAAAATGAAAATGGTTCATACAGATAAAAAAGAGAAGCCCAGGCGAAATACAAAAGAATGACAAGAAAGAGATATATCTGAAACTGATTTCTAGACTTCATGTATTACTGTATATCCTTTCAGGGAATAACCTAGCATTTATTTGCTAGTAACAAAACTGTTACTATTCCCGTCATTTAATAGCTCTTAACTCCACTGTCAACAAACACAGTGTAGCTGATATTCCACAATTAAAAAGAAAAGAAAAGAAAAAAAGAAAGGAAAGAGTCAATATCAAACATTTGGATTCAGTGTCATTATTTCATCTCCACGTTCCTTTGGTAATAGGATACCTAGTTTGTCTCTTTTTTAACATGTATTTAACATATTTATTTTAAAACATACAATACCGTTAAAGAAAAATGCACATATTGGTTTTTTTGAAGATTGTTTTCATTACTGGGCACAGAGCAGATTTGTGAGGTGGGTCTTTAGGGAATGCAGAAGGAAGATTTTGAGTACTTGGAACCCTTCAGTACTCCTTTTCGGTACTCCACTGTGAGAAGCATCACCTAGACAGATAACTTTGGAATAAATGTTCCAAGTTATGTAAAGAGTCATTGATGGATAACAGGTCAGATAGATTTAGGAAACTCTGAGGCCATCAAAGGCAAACAAGTTTTTTTCATTTAGAACTCCCCAAATGTGAGGATGGAAGGGAACACTGCATGGAAGGAAATGCAGAGCAACCAGTGAAAAATGTGACCTAAGGGAAGTGTGGGCATCAGTCAAGCTTGGGGTTTTAGATCTGTCATGCAGCATATTAACTTCAATACAGATTTTTCTCTATTCAAACTTCTAATTAATAAAATTTGACAATTATACCCACCTTTTGGGAGTATATTTAATTTCTAACAAATAAGAATGAGGTTTTTTTACATATATTAAGCAGTACCATCAGAAAAAGAATAAACATGTTTTTTCTCTTTTTTCACTTTATAATGTTGGTGCCCAGTGCCTAAGAGTACACAATGGGTCTAAGTAATTGTTTCAATGAAGTAAATGAATAAAGTGAGAAAACACTATTAAAAATCTATGCAATGGCCAGATGCAGTGGCTCACACCCTTAATTCCAGTATTTTGGGAGGCCAAGGTGGGTAGATCACTTGAGCCCAGGAGTTATAAACCAGCCTGGGCAATATGGCAAAACCCTGTCTCTATAAAAAAAAAAGCAAACATTAGCTAGGTATGGTGGCACATTCCTGTAGACCCAGCTACTAGGGATGCTGAGGAGGGAGGATTGCTTGAGCCTGGGAGGTGAAGGTCGAAGTGAGCAGAGATCTTGCCACTGCCCTCCAGACTAGATGACAGAGTGAGACCCTGTCTCAAAAAAAAAAAAAAATTATGCAGAATCTGTTATCTCAACTAATATATGTTGTAGGTTTCAACGTTGTTTTCCTTTGTGTTTTGTTTTGTTTTTGAGACAGGATAGATTTTGAAGTCAGAAATACTGTAAAACTATAATAATGTGTTTTAACTTTCCTGCTTCTTGAAATTCTTACATTTATTTATTTATTTATTTATTCAACAACCATTAATTCAATGCTGACTGTGTAAGATACTTTGCTGATAATAGAAAACTTTGTACAAAAATGAAAAAAGACAAAGCTTTGCTGTCAACTCCAGTATAATGGAAAAGAATAACATATAAACAATTGTTTATAAACATGGTAAAAAGGCTAACTTATTCATTAAGTGTTTACTAAGGACTCCCACTGTTCCAGACCCTGCACCAAGAACTGATGAGGTAAAGATGAAAAAACAACTAAAACTTGCGATGTGCTTTGCACAAGAAAAGCAGAAATCTTTGAGGAGGGAAACAGGTAATGCAAAGATCACAAACAGCAAATTCATAAAAGCAGGTCCGTCATTTCAGAAAACATCTATCACCGCATACCGGGAGTCCAGCAGGAAAGAAGAAAACTGTGCCTGCAATTATTGACTACAGAGTACAAGGCAAATAGTGAGACTTCAAAAATATTGTCTTATAAGTGGATAAATGATGATATGAAAAAATCCTTTTAAGAAGCTGAAAGTGGAAGGGGTTTAGATGGGAAAGATATTTTTCAATTTTCACTTTGCTTTTCTTTTTGAGGAAAAAATTCATATACTTTAAAAGTCCATTCTCAATTATATGTTTAATATCTATCAGAATACATTATAATGAGAAAAATTAATTCTGAGTTGCCAAATTTGTTATAAAATGGTATCTATTATATACATGTTTTTCTAAGTGAAAAATAGATTAAAGAATACCTAGGGATAAAGAAAATTGAACTGATAGGATTTCTATCAGATGTAATTTATTTTTAAAAATATTGTTGTATACCAGGAAACATCTGTCTAATGAGTCATTTGAAAAATAAGCGTGAGTGTTAAAAAAGGCACAATGGTAAAGTATGTTGCAATCTACCAGGCAAAAAGTGATGAATCAAACCTGAGATCAAGGGTAAAAGTAGACGCAATAGAATGGCAGCCTGCTATAGCTGATTCTCTTTATTTTTCATCTGCAATTGTCATTTAAAGCTGAAACTAATATATAATGGTGCAGAATTTCTCACAGAAAATATTCTGTAGTCAAAATAATTTCACAATTTTAGTAAGATGCAGAAATTTAAATATCAAAGAAATTTATTTTCCAGTCTTTCCAAAAGCTTGACTGGAATGGAGTGTTCTTGCCTGAGTGACTAGCAAACCCAAGGGCCTTTCAGGTCACCTTTATCACCTTGAGTTTAGCATTAAATAGTTGTTTTCCTCATGCTTTCAGGAATAACAACTAATTTTTTCAACAACTAAAAGTAGAATCTGTCTTTCCAAAGAAGATCCCTATTAACTGTGCTCTTAAAATTAACTTATACAACCAAACTGACAATTTATGTACTTACATATGGGAATTATTGCCACAGATTCAGACTACTAGACTGATATCAGAACTGTGTAGAAAGAAAATGTTATGGTAGGAACCCCAGGGAGCAATGGTGGAAGTTAATTGAGTAGCTGTGGTAGATTACAATGATGATATCTTTTCATTATATTTATCTTTAGCCATGTCCTTTGTCATGTTATGTTGCAGTTTCTCAAAGTTAAGGGGTAGAGTATGTTTCCCTAAGTCTGTGCCTATGGTGTCCTTTCCATTTGTCTTTAATAGGAGATTGAGGCAAAAATGATGGTGTGACAGTTTCAAGCCCAGGCTCAAAAGATATTGCATGTTCTCATTTTATTTAATTTAGATGTCTAATACAACTTCTAAGCTCTTAGTTCATTAAAAAACTGTCTTTTAAAAAAGTATTCCACTTAGTTCTTCTCCTTGTCTTTCATTCTGTCCCCCACAAATAGAAACAAATCTATACACATTATAAATACATAGTAAGTGTTAACATCAACTGATTTTTTGCAAGTTAATTTGGTATATACTTTGAGGAATTTTTACCCTGGATTTTGTTATTTCCTGGTAGATGAAACTGACATGATAATAGGGCAGGCTAGCCTACTAGAGGATGAGTGAGCTGTAGAAAAGAATCTGAGGCAGCCCAGATCAGCCAACAGATCACTAATCTCAAGTCATATGAAAAAGCCAAGCCAAGATCATCAGATTTGACTTCAAATATGAGAGCCCTAAACTCATTGTTGTAAGTCACTGAATGGCATGATTGTGGCAATAGTTAACTGACACAATATTAAAAAGAATTAGATTAAGCTATACTTAAGACTCCACCCACCCACAGGCAGGTTTATGATCTCATTCTCTTGCACCTGTCTCAATGCCCTAGTGGCCCTGCAAATACATTAGGACCATGTTGGCTGAAATATCTTCCCACACAGCAATATACAATAATGAACATCACAAGCATTTGTTTCTCTAAGTCTTCATCATTCATGCATGTGTATTAATAGATTTGATATATATGTATAAAATTTATGCCATGTATATATTTTTAAAGACATAATTATTTGGAGAAAATAAATTATAGACACACACAGACACATCATATGTTTGAAATACGCTAGTATTTTCACCATTTCCTAAAAATACTATCTATTCTCAAACTATGTTTGTTTCAATCATATTCATGCTTTTCACTAATCTACATTTTATACCCATTATTTTGCCCTTTGAAAAATTTCTTACATTCCAACACTCATTTTAAAGTCAACATCCCAATTGAATGTTATTTAACAATTACATAATTCTGCATTTTACAATATTTAACAATTTAGTTGTCTAATATCACTTCTAAGCTCTTAGCTCATTAAAACTGTTGTTCTATCATATTCCACTTTGTTCTTCTACTTGCTTCTCCTTCTGTCCCCCAGCAATAAGAATAAATCTATAGACATAGTAAATACATGATAAGTGTTTTTAACCTCAACTTATTTTTACGCGTTAATTTGGCAGATAATTTGAGGAATTTATGCCTTAGATTTTGTTATTCCCCAGTAGGTTAACCATGTCACTGATTTGAAGCTGATGTTGCCACTGCATTTCACTCATGTATTAATTTCCTAGGATTATCATGAATGTAACACCAGCTGGGTGGCTTAAAATAACAAAAACATTATTGTCTCACAGTTTTGTAATCTAGAAGTCTAAAATCAAAAGGCAGCAGGGCAATGCTTCCTGTGAGACTCTGGGTAGAATCCCTTTTGCCCCTTCTAAGCTTCTGGTAGTGCCAGTGTGCTTTGGCATTCCTTGCCTTGCAGCTGCAACACTCTAATCTCTGCCTCTGTTGTCTCATGATGTTCTTCTCCCTGTATGCCTGTGTCTTCTATTTGTATATAGAAATCAGTTATATTGAATTGGTGTCCATGTTAATGACCTCATCTTAACTTGATTACATCTGCAAAGGCTCTATTTCCAAATAAGGTCATGTTTACAGGCATTTGGGATTAGGACTTTAAATCATTTTGGGAAATGCAATTCAACCCATGACGATACATAAGTCTCAGCTGACTTTTTTTGCCCAACCTAATACTGATAATTACTAAGAACAAATCTTGTGTAACAAAATTCTAGGAAATGTTTTTCTTTGAAATATAAGGCTAATTTTTTTTCTTTTAGGTCCTAGCAAACTCCACCTATCAAACCAGTGATGGTATTTACAAGCTCGAGAAACCACTAACCAATTATATTAAATAGAGAGGGTCCTCGAGCTGGAGAATTGTCAATCGCAGCAGGATGACCATCATTTACATCTTGTCGTACAGGAGGTCTCAAAAGCAGCCATGTGTCTAGAGCAGTTATTTGATTAAAAACTCACAAACTAATTGCATAGAACTGCCTGTGTAAACTTGTCAATCAAATCTTACAGACAGAATTCTCTAGAAAAACACCAATGGACTTAGATAAACAATCTTAGCAATCATACAACCAACTAGTTTGTACATTAAACATTTATCAATTATTTTATGAGCAATCAGTTCACAAAATTGATTCATAAGCATAACTTATGTAGAAGATTAGAACACAGCACCCCACAACCAATTCAAAACCACAGTGATGCAATCATAGCTCACTGCAGCCTTTAACTTCTGGGCTCAAGTAATCCGCCCACCTCAGCCTTCCGAGTAGGTGGAACTACAGTCAGATGCTAACATGCCCAGCTATTTGAAAAAAAAAAAAAATTAGAGACAGGCGCTTGCTCTGATGTCCAGGCTGGAGTGCAGTGGTTTGAACATAACTCTCTTCAGCCTTGAGCTCCTGGCCTCAAGGGATCCTCCAGCCTCAGCTCCCGAGTAACTGAGACTACAGGTACAAGCCACTCTGCCCAGCTAGCAGATAATGCTAGCAAAATAATCAGTCACTCCTGGAATTAAAAGAGTGTCCCGAATAGACTAACTCTTATTAACATTTTTATTACATCATTTAAGATATATGATGTATGAGATTTGCCTTATTATTTTTAACATTCATATAAAATATGTACATTGAACTTTAGTACATATATTGAGTTTCAGGATATCTATACCATTGTTTTTATAAGAAAATATTTAATAAAGGCACAAGGCCACAGTATATTATCACAATTATAACTTTAATGTGTTAAAATTTAAAATGTAATGAAAGTGACAAAGATAGGTGCGTACCGTACTTACACAGTACAAATAAAATTCATTAAACCCAATAAGCAAGATGTGGAAAAAATACTATGATATTCAGTTTCCATTCTAGGTCAACCAAAAAAAGATGTATATAATTTTAATGAAAAAATAAATATTATATTAATTACATAATTTCCAACTATACTGGTTAACTTTGGAGGTTTTTGAAAAGCTTATTATCACAATAACCATTGGATATGATTGCAAAGAATAATATTGTACAGTTAAAATCCCAATATAAAAGGGAAAATTTGAACATAAAATCTGAATTTCACCTACATAAGTATTTGAACATCTACTTGTAGCTATTATGTAATATGAATAATTATTATAATTATTATATATACATAGTTATAAACATCATAAATAAAAATCCTCGTATATATCTATTTATCAAGCCATTACATGCCTTTAAAAATAAAGCTGTTTTTCAGTTAAAAACGTTATGTTTTTGTCTCTTTGATCTATCATCCAAAGTTGGTTTATATTCAAATTAAAATACCATCTGTCTCATAAATAGAGACATCTTAATACCTTGACAGATAAGACAGTCTTAAGGGAAACTCAATCACCCTTGTCCATAATTTCTTAAAAAAAAAAAAACAAAAAACCTACTTGATCTCCTCGTATGACATAATGAAGTATCTAAGAAAATACCATTTTAGTTACATGAACATGTTGAGCTAAAAGTTGTCTATTCGGAATTGTTTAACATAGTGATTTGTTAATTTCATTTTTTTCCTAAACATTATATATGTGATTATGACTATTACAAGATTCTGATATTTTTAATGTGGAGGTTGTTTGTTATCCAAGGTCAAACTCAAATATCTTCCATCTGTCTTACCATGGATGACATTTTCTGCAATGAACAGGCATTTATAGGTGTTGATTTATACATTTCAAATTCATTTAATTAACATGCAATTCAAATTTAATCCAGCAAACATATTTTAACATTGCTATATGTCTAATACTACCTTAGACAAGGTTAGGCCACTGTATGGGTAGGAGAGGTGATGGCGTAACAATGTAATTTGTTGCTAATAAAATATGTCTTAAAAAACAACAAAACAAAAGACAAAAAAAAACAGAAACATTCACCATCTTCCATGAGAGATGAGTTACTATTCAACAGGGAAATTAGTATTTTTAAAATTGCTACTATGAAAATATGGACAAGCAAAATATAAGAAACTGTGGGAGAATATCAGCACACGCAAATATTCCTATAGTCATTGTCATTAAAATCTAATCATGAAGGTGGAAATACTAAACATAAAATAGTCATATGACAATGTATAATTAAATCATAGAATTGACTAAAATTAGTTTCATTCTATAAAGGAATTCTGTTCAGTAAATCCATTAAAATGGATATGACTACTTGTTAGAGGATATACAATTCTTAACTATACAGCCAAATAGTTATCATTGATGCTGTTTTGATATTTCTGAAGTTATTAAACATAAATATTATGCTGAGATCTGGTTTCATCTTTGTTTAGTAAACCTAAGAATGAGGACACACTTAAGGCTGATACTATCCGTCCAATAACAATTAAAAATTGAAGAAGTTTGAGCATTTAACTGTTGCATTCACTAAAAAATGTTCTGGATAAACGTCCTACTGAGTCCCAATCTGCTGAACTCTGCTGTGATGGTTGAAAATAGAGTTTGTGATTAAAGTCTCCTAACTCACTCCAACACATGGGAAATCAAAGAAATAGAGCACTTTGTTTCAAGTACAGAAAGAGGGTTAAAATGACTGGGCCCAAACAATTCAGCAGTACACATATATTAATATATTCTAAAACTTAAACATCTTCAGAAAGCTGATTCCATGCAAAATAAAAAGCATCTACTCAGTACAGATTCAGTTGCTGTTATCTAGTAATAGGAAATTTCTAATATACAGGCAATGCTACCATCTAAAAGATAAAAGTAAAATAGTTTCCATATTCTTCAAACTGGCAACTCCTTGGAAAAAAGTGAGGGTAACAAATGTTTCTTTCATATTCACTACATTATAATAACACCTTTATGCATTCAGTTTTAACTATTGAGAAAATAATGCTGCAATTTAATATTTTTAAATATTAAATTTGCATACAATTTCCTTAATAATGACTTTATTTCTCCTGTGGAAAGTATGTTTGGTGGTGTACTGGAATTCTTGGTTAAGCTTTAGAAGAGAAAGTTTGCCTAATTAAATGAAATTTCAGTAGACTAAAATAAGAACCAAAAAGAAGATAAGTAGCGATGCCTGTTAAATTAAGCTGGTCTCTCTCTCTCTTTCTCTCCCACCATCTCCTCAGCCAAGGTACTGAGTATTTGTCTCCAACTCTCTTTTAACTCTTCTAAAGCTTAAAAGATTAAAAGTTATTTAGTTTTAGTTATTCTAGAAAGGAATCTAGAATAATTAAAACTAAAAGGAAGACATTCTTGGCAGTAATGATAATAGGTATTAAAATTGATGTATGAGGTTGTGTCATTTCTTCCCCTTTAGAGAAATAGAAATAAAGATTGAAATTCATATTTTTCCCCTCTATGATTTAGATATAATGCTGACAGGAAACTGGATAATGAATAGAAAATTTCTTGAGATCCTTTTGTCTCTTCAAATTTTTAAAATTGTCTGCTCAACAATTAGTAGTAAAATATGGATATTATTATGTTAATAGACTGTTTAAATTGAATAGCTAGGCATATTTGAAGTGAAGTTTTAAAAAAGTGAACTTTTTAGTGTCTTCTCATAGATGTTTTATGGCTCTATATAGTTGAAGTAATATTATATTAGTAAAGGTTATCATAACTGCACAAAGAATAAATGTGTAAAATAAGAAGAACGCAAAATAGTTTGATTTAAATACTAATTATTGATATGTAGTAGAGGCCTTACCTGAAAAGGATACTGATAAATAAGGTCTTATATCTTCTATAACAATTACAAAGTAAGTTTACACTTGAAGACATTTTTGGTACTTGATTATAAACCATATTTTGTAATCTATTGTGTACATTCCTTTGGCATAGTTCACAATTACTACATGTACTTGCTAGATATATCAGAGTCACTCAAAAAGTAACTTTTCAAAAAATAAAATAATGCACCATTTAAAACAAACTCTATGGATCCATCTAAGCCAAATTTGGATAAATAAATTTTTATTGAGCAAGCATCCAGGGATGTGTGAACATCCAGAAATCTCATAAAAATTAGTTTCCCTAAATAGCATAATTTTTGTCAACTCAAATGTATAGAGGGGACATGAGAGAGCCAGAGTGTATAGTTGGAAGGAACAGGGACCTGACAGTAAAAGCAACAATACCTTGGAAATTTCAGGGAATTTGGTCTTGAAAGAGGAAGAACAAAGGAAAATCAGCATGTCTTTATGTGATAAATTGTACCTCTTACCAGATTACATTTGCTTTTCTCATCTACCTTCTTTATCAGCAGCACGACTTGTATTCTCCATATCAACACAGAAAAAGGAAAGTACAGTATTGAATAAAGCTTCTGAGCAATCACTGGAGCACTGCCGTAAAAAAGTCAGTGACAGTGAAGAGCAAAACTATTTAGTGGTTTATACAACTATATAATGTTAGTGTTGGCATACGCAGAATAGAAAATGTACAAATTTAACTTAACAATAGTAAGAAAACATGTCCTGATATTCTGAAGTTATGATAAATTTTATGCCTTGGAGAAATTTATGTTATACTATATGCTGCAAATAGAAAACATATAGTTGACTTTCATATAATGTTTCTGTGTACTGCACTTAATATTTGCTTCTTAATTTTAATAATTTACCTGTAGATTTTTGGAGTTTTTAGGTACAACATAATTTGGCCTCAAATAATGATAGGTTTGTTTCTTCCTATTTTTATATATCTTGTTATTGTATTATTATTAATTTACCATATTGCAATGGGCTAGATCTCTCTGCAAAAAACTGAAAGAGGTGTTGGTGGCAGATATCTTTCCAGAAGAAACTATTCCAATATTTTACTATCAAACATGTTACTTAATACTGTCTAAAAGTGTTTTGTAGATATTATCAAATAAAAAAATTAATTTGGTTTCTAATTTGATAAGAAGTGTTAGTTTTTTTATAACATGAATTGCTGTTGCATTATATTTTCTTTAAATAAGTGTTAAATTATTTTCTCCTTGCATATTGAGATAAGCATATACTTTTTCATTTCTTCATCCTTTGTAGTGGAGAATTACATTGTTATATCAAACTTGTATTTCATCTTTTGGTTTTTGATCAGGTCTCTACTTCTATGCCTGATTACTTTGAATAAGTTCCGGAAATTGTGTATAAACAATATTGGAGAGAATTTGAGGCTCCAGATGATGTAAGTTTACTTCTTAACATTGTAAAATAACAAATATACTTAAAAACAGAGTGCTTTCCTTAAATCTAGATAGACCGTAGAGCAAGTGTAAACTTAGTAGATTAAGTATGGTTACTAGAATCAAAGATGACACAGTACTCAGGCTCCAATTCATTTTCTGAATTATGATTGGGTATTGCTAGGAAAAAATAAATAATGTATTTTGGTATTCATTAAAAGAGACTAGAACTATAACCACCTCAACAAATGATGAATATCAAAGTGTAAACAGTTTATGAAAATATCAACACTCAAAAAAAAACCAACTCTGTGAAATCTAAAAAATAAAACAAAACAAACAAACAAAAACCTATGGTGACATTTGAATTGACAATGATTGTTAAAATTATTATTTTAAGCTATAATTATATTTAAATTTATTTTATGTGATTGTTTTTAATTCACAAAAGTTACAGGCTTTTAAATGTTTTTTAATTAAAGCTGGATTGTTGCTTCTGTGTTTTCCAAAAGAAAAGTGAGTATAGCTTCACAGGACCAGAACCTCTCTTGAGACCAGCAATTTTCCAAACTTTGCCAATGTCTCTCTTTTCTATTGACAGACTATAAATAAATGTGATGGAAAATGCTACTCATATTTTTTAGCTTTTTAAATAAATGACAGGTGATTTCACAATCTTACTTTTAGACAAAGGTTACCTAGTAGGAACTTACTGAAAAAAATTATTTAAAATAACTGCAAGAAGGCTTATCAATTAAAACTAATATATTGAAATATTATAGCCAGAAAACTGTTAGCAACATCAAAAGCATCTATTACACTTGGAAAATGCAGGTAATTTTAATTCACTCAGTTTATGACATGGACATTTATTAGTACATCTGTATTTGCTTCAGTTGGTCATCATGTTCAATGTTATATTTTTACTTTTCAGGTATTATATTAATGAGATTACTTCAGTCTATGGTATATAGTTATGAATAACTATGTCAATGGTTAAATGTTAAAATGTTTAGAGCTTTTAATTAAAATTGTTGTTTATTCATCTTGAGAAACCTTAAAATATATTAATAATGTGAGTAAAATATGGAATTAATTCTTCTCACATACCTCACACACATTCTAATAATTCTATCACTCCCAGACCTACCCCATGTGGGGAAATAATTACATTTTTTAACAATTTATATATAATTTCTGTAAAGGTTTTCACTGTCATTAATTTAGTTGTGTATCTAAAATAACTGTAATTGTTTTTAAATAACATTCCACACATATTTTCCAGTTATTTGTCTAGTTTTATTTTATCATGTCTTTTTGATCTGTCTTTCCAACTTGATTGGTCATAATGACCGGGGATATTTTGCTTTTTTCAGCCTTCCCTTTCATCAACAAATATACTGAGTGCCCACTATTGCCAGGAACTATTATCTTATGCAGGAAACATCAGTCAAAAGATTAAAGATAACTTCTCCTCAAATACTTTTATAACTTAGGGAGTGAGGTACAAGAAAAGAATTGAGTAAGTGTGTGTGTGTGTGTGTGTAATGATGAATTGTGTTAAATGGCAGAGCAAGTACAGGGATACAGAATTCTGGAAGGAGACTGTAGGCAGGAGAGGTAGTGTTCAATGCAGTATATAGTATTCAGAAAACACAGCATTTGAAATGTAAAAGTTGAACAAAACCTGAAAGAAGCGAAGGAGTGAGTCGTGTATTTGATGGACATGGAAGAGAATTAAAGGCAGACTTACGGCCGCTGAAGATGTCCTGAGGCACCAATATGCCAAACATATTTGATGTAGAGTAAGGTTTCCCTTGCCAAAGCAATGTGAAGAACTGAACAAGATATATGCAATATAGTCCTCATTGGAAATATATTGGCTTTCAGACGAGAAAGTCAGAGAGAGACCTATAAGAACATTTTGAGTAGAAGACTGACATCAGTTGACTCGAGTTTTAATAGAATAACTCTGGTTGCTGTGAGAGAATATATTTTAGCTTTGCTAGGACAGAAGGATGAAAAAGAGAATGTCTTATTTAATGATAGAGTTGAGACATAGTGTTGGTTTGGACATGGAAGTACTGGTCCTGGCAAGAAGTGGTCAGATATTGGATATATTTTTGGAAAGAGAGGTATTTTACTGCTAGATTGGATGTGGGGCTTGCAAGAGAAAGGGCTTTAGCATCACTCTAACTATTTTGGACTCACAGACTGAAGGACACAGACATTAACACCTGAGATAGGAAAGAATGTTGCAGAATTAAGTTGGTTATATAGGTGACAAGGGATAAATAGGAACTTGGATTTAGATATTTTAAATTTAAGAAGATTATTTGACATCTAATTAGAAATATCTGCTGAGCACAGTGACTCATGCTTGCAATCCCAGCACTTTGGGAGGCCGAGGTGGGCAGATCACCTAAGGTCAGGAGTTCGAGGCCAGCCTGGCCAACATGGTGAAAGTACTGAAAATACAAAAATTAGCCCGGCCTTGTAGTGAGAGCCTGTATTCCCAGCTATTCGGGAGGCTGAGGCAGGAGAATCACTTGAACCCAGGGGCAGAGGTTGCAGTGAGTCAAGATACCATCATTGCAGTCCAGCCTGGGCAATGACAAGAGCGAGACTCCATGAAAGATAGGAAAGAAAGAAAGATAGAAGGAAAGAAGAAAGAAAGAAAGAAAGAAAGAAAGAAAGAAAGAAAGAAAGAAAGAAAGAAAGAAAGAAAGAAAGAAAGAAAGAAAGAAAGAAAGGAAGGAAGGAAGGAAGGAAGGAAGGAAGGAAGAAAGAAAGAAAAAGAGAGAAAGAAAGAAAGAAAATTTTAAAAATGTTTATATAAGTCTGAGGTTCTAAGAAGATATACTGGTTATAGATCAAAATTTGGAAGTTATCAGCATATAGATGTTACTTAAACCCATTTCTGAAACTGGTTAAGATTATAGAGGAAATAAAAACAGGGAAAGATAAGAAGTTGTTGTGGGATATTCATTGCAAATGTGTACCACTTCTTTGTACTCCCTTTATTTATGCCCTCTCTAATGATACTTCATACATTCTTTTCATCAAGAATAGCATCTTTACAAACCCCTTTCAATCTAGTCCAGCCTGATAACTTGCTTTGGCCAATAGAATGTGATGGAAGTGTCAAATCAGCCCTCTACCAGATGCCTTAGGTGCTTCTGTTTTCTCTTTTGGAAGCCTGCCACTGCCATATAAACAAAGCCAGCCTAGTCTGCTAGATGCAGAGAATTGAACTCAGTCACCTCCATTGCCCAGGCCACCTAGCCTGCCAATCTGCAGAAATCTAAGTGAGGCTATGCAGATCAGCCACCTAGCAGACAACACACCAGCTGAACACAGATTATCAGTGAGCAGTTAAAATCTGCAGAACCTCTCCTAGATCAGCAGAACCACTCATGGATTCATGAGCAATAATAAATACTTAATTTTTACTAATGCATGACAATAAATACTTACCTGTTTTAAGCCACTGAAGTTTGGGGTAGTTTATTACACCACAATAATTACAAGATTATTATTAAATAAATAAATCAGCAGTGCACTCTAGTTGTTAAGAGCTTAGGAAGATGAAAAGGAACAAAACAATAAAAGTGAGAAAAGACAGTCACTAGGATTTGAGAAAATCCAAGAACAAATGATGTCCTTTGACCTAGAAAAGAGGTGTTTCCAATTAAACAAAATTGTCAACTGTGTCAAGTACTGCCAAATCAAGAAAATGAGTGATGTAAGTTGACCATTGTGTTTAATAATGTAGAGGTGATTGCTGATATAATTTAAGATTCCTTCTAAACCACACTGATAAAATGAGAACAAGGTAAATTTTTTGAAAGACACTAATGACTACCACTAATAAATTTAATGATAAATTATAAAATTTTGAAATTCTAGATAGTGTTTTTTGGCTGAATATATATGTTTTCTAATATAACAAGAATATATAACCCTTTTATAAGATATTAGGCTAAAGGGAAAGATCAGTTAAACCTTTAAATTATTGTTATAGACCTAGTTATATTCTTTATACATAAAATATATATATATATCTCAATAGAATTCAGGCATTGTCTTACTATATAAATCAAAATATTTGTGGCTTACATTGTACATGCCTTTATTAAGCCAAATGACAGTTTCAGGTACAATTGCACGCCAGCACGTAAGTGAGATTGCAAAAGAAAAGAAAATATAGAACAATTTTTTCTTAACAGTTTATATTTAAGGATATAAAAATATAACTTAGTGATTTTAACCTCTTAGTTACATTCAAGATGAAATATCTATGTACGAAAAGTTTTCCCGACTAATTAATACATACATGTTATATACTAAATTGTTGTATTAAAAGAAAATAATCTGTTTACTTATTAATAGGCTTTAAATTATTCTGGGACTGAGACTGATGGATTATTTAGGCAGATAGAGTTTCAGTGATATTAGCTTAACCTTCTATAAGATTAAGAAATGGAATTATACATGCTGGGTGTTCAACTTTATCCCTTTGTTGCCCGGGAGGCCATATTTATCTTCTCTGCTTCCCATGATACCCCCACTGAAATAGAGAACATGGTCCTATGAGTCTCTTGCTTGGTATTTAACACAGGCTTGAAGAGAGATTGCTGACATACTCCAAGTAACCTTTGTGCATCCAGGCCCAACAGTGGTCAGAAAGAAATAATTACAGCTACTTCAAAGTGATTAAAAGCAGTTCTGAACAGAGGGGAAAAATCATCCTAATTGTGCCCTAGGGAAGAACTGCTTCAGAGGTATACTTATGATTGCTTTGAAGCAAAAGTAACTACTTTGGCCCTCTCAGCAGGCTTCACTAAGTAGAAATGTATAAGCTCTCAGGGACTCAAGGGAGAGAATAAGCTGAATACCTAGTATGAGCATTGATTTCTTAATCTCATGAGGTAAACCCCTGCAGAACATGATGCACAAACAAACCGTGTGATTTCAACTGAGTGACCCACTGCATTAAAACTAAATTAGACCAATGTCTATGAGCTACACGAAATGAATGTCCTTCTAAAGAAGGCAATGGCTTAATTTAAAATTCTGCCTAAAGGTTTCTCTGCTAAAAATAATCAAATAGAATAGATCTTATGTTTTCTGTTTAATTTAAAGTAACATCAGATGAATATAATAATTAACCAGTAGTGATTACACATTTTGAAAGTGTAATATTTCAATGATATTTACTTTCTCAAAACTATAAAAAAGGTAAAATTTGTCACCCAGCTGTATTCTGGTGTCTGGAAGAAGCATGTATCTACTACATTTAACTTACTGCCAAGCAATGAATGAAAAACAGGAGAAGTGTCAATGCAAATAGACTTGATGGTCTGAATTCCCTTAATTAGTGGTTATTTTCATTCTGACCTGCATCTTTTTTATTTAGAAATACATAAATGATGGTGTGTTCTAAACTCAAGCTGCTATATATACAAAAATTACATATACAAGCAGTAAATATATCTGCTATTTGACTGTAATAGCAAGAGTCAAGACTTGTCTCATCAGGAATGCTCTTAAATATAAACACTTAGATTAAACAATATTTTAAATGCTCCTTAATATATATAATTTTTACTCAGTTTATTAATAACTCATCATAAACATGCTAAATGTACACAATTGCTGATTTTAAAATAAAGTTCACAAGTGTTAAAAATGTTGAGATTGTTATATGTCTTATCTTTAAAAGGCAAAATTTTAATTTTTGTACATCTTTTGTTTTATATTTTACAAAATAATTGTCTTAAAATAAAAATTGTTTTTAATTAAACTCTAAAATATGACCATATGTATTACAAATATACATTCCAGAAAACTAGTTAAATGTACAACTTTAAAATTACATGTAGATGGTTTACATCTTCCTGTCTTAATTGTTGAGACAAATGAGAAATATGCATGGAGAAGATGGAAGTGAGTTACATTGGATTTGTATATAAATGACTATTTATTTACATGAGCGATTGAGCCATGACTGCTGCAATCTATAATCACATATTCCATGTTATCAGTACAACTTGTTTGTTTGTTTTACTATTTTTCTGGAAAGGTTAAATATTACTCTGCTTTAGTACAAAAAACAAAAGAACCAAACAAACCCATAGTATAACAGAATTATAAGTCAGAAGAATAGAATAGTATTTGTTTGTTTGTTTTGCATTCTCTAATGACTATGCAATTATCTCTTATTTAAGTTTATTTTTTTATTTCTCAGCAAATGCTAACAGGATAATACATGTAAATGGAATATACTACTTTTTTTTCTTCCTCAAATTTTTACTAGATGTTGACTGCTATGTTAGACCATATGGTGTAAAAAAAGATTTCATTTTAGCATGCTACAATATGTTGTATTCAAAGACTAAGAAAAGCAAAGTTGCATGTAAAGGTCATAAAATTGCTGGAATGTACTATATGGAAAAAGAAGTTGTTACTAAGTCATCTCATGAATGTAAAGATGTATATTTTAATATGTGCACTAAATAAAATAGATTTAAATTTTCTTAAAGATGCATTCTTCATGCAAAAAATATCATAATAAAACAAGCAGAATGGCAAACTGGATATTTAGGTCTCAAAAGGAACATTTAAGTGTTTGGGTCCACTCACACATTTAATAAAATTTATTGATTACCTACAATATAGTAACCACAGGGTAGAATGATGTACAAACTCAGAATCAGTTCTCCAGGGGCTTATAATCTACTAATGGTGGTTTTAGACATATAGTCAAATAACCATAAAAATGCAGTAGGTTCTATTTTTAGTAGACATTTGAAAGTGATGTCCTGTGGGCCTGGAGAAGAAAGCACTTAACTCTGCATAATAATTCAGAAAAGACTTCCCAGAGGAACTATCATTTCAGCTATAAGTTTTGTTTCCATTATTCAATACTCCCAAAATGCCAAATCTATATGTCCATAACTTTAATACAAAAAAAAGAATAATTTCACAGCTTTCACTCCTGCACCCCACACAATCCATTTATGTAAAAAGTGATCTTTTCAAAATGTTGATCAAAACAAAGCATTCTCTTGATTAAAATATTTGTAGTCACTGACCATCACACTGTGGTCTGTAAGGCTGAACATGCACCACATCCTTAATGATTCTGTGTACTCATCTTTTGTCAATCTTCTCATTTTCTCTACTCTAGACATGTCTTTTCTACTCTTATTTAATGTACTTGAAGGCATTTAATCAAGACATTCACACATCTAAATTCCTCACTTTATTCCAGTATCTCCCTAAATGTAATTTTGTGGGAAAAGACTTTCCTGATCTTCCTATAAAAATTGCATTCCCTAGCTTAGTGTAGTAAGATAATAATAATAAATCATTTGTCTTTATTCCCAATTCCTGGCACATATCTTCTAAATTCTTGGTGTCCGTAAGTGATAGGAGTGTCTTTCATATGATGGTGAGATGATTCCTGGTGAAGCTTTAGATAGATTCAAAATGTCAGCTGGTGGTCAGAAAGGCCGAGCCATGATCAGATGTTAGGAAATTTCAACCTCAACCCCTCTGGGGAGATGGGAGGGATTGGATATAGAGTTTAATCACTAATGGCCCATCATTTAAACAGTCATGACTACATAATGAAACCTCCATAAAGAAACCCTAAACATCAGACTTAGAGATTCCATTTTTGAACATGTAGAGTGCTGGGAGGGTAGTATAGCCATCCCCTACCCCCATTCCTTATCCTATGCATGTCCTCTATTTTTCTATCATGAGTTGTGATTTTTATAATAACTAGTAAATGTAATAAAGTGTTTTCTTGAGTTATATGAATCATTCTAGGAAAATAGAACCTTAGGAGATGATCACAGAAATCCCCAATTTATAGCCTGTCAGAAGTATAGGTGTCCCAGGACTTAAACTGGTGTCTAAAGTGGGAGCAGTCTTGTAGGACAGAGCCCTTCACCTGTGGGGTCTGTGCTAATACCAGATAGTATTGGAACTAAATTGAATGGTGGGATACCAAGTTGGTGTCAGAGAATAGCAAATCTATTTATGATGTATTTCTATTAATCTGCTCTATTTCCTCCATAGTACTTAAACTTATTCCTACCTAAAATCATAGTAAAAATAATTGTCTTCCACTGTCCCATGATGACAAGTGATGTTTCTCTATTGCTTATCACGGAATCCCTAAAACTGAAGTAGTAATGATATGTTTTGTATCGGTCCCTGCATCCAAATCTCCTGTCAAATTGTAATCCACAATATTGGAAGTGGGGCCTTGTGGAAGGTGATTGGATCATGGCAGTAGTTCCTCATGGATGGTTTAGCACCATCCTGTTGGTGCTGTTCTCGTGATAGTGAGTTCTCATGACCTGGTTTTAACCTGGTTGTTAAAATTGTGCAGCACCTCCCACCTCACCCCCTCTCTTGTTCCTGCACCAGCCATATGACGTGCCTGTTCCCCCTTTACCTTCTTTCAGGATTCTAAGTTTCCTGGCACCTCCCCAGAAGCCAAGCAGATGCCAGCATCATGCTTTCTGTACAGCTGTGGCACTTTGAGCCAATTAAACCGCTTTTCTTTATAAATTACACAGTCTCAGGTATTTCTTTATGCAATGCAAGAATGGACTAATACAATTACCTTGCACACATTACACGTGCAATAAAATTTACAAATTCATAAATGAATAAATGTGTTTTTGACATTTGGGGATGGACTAGTACATTGGTTTTTATTATTGTTCACATACGATATAATGAATAAATTAAAAATATATATGCTTTGCAAGGTTGCATTAGTCTTGTGAAGAAATATTATCAAATGAAGAAACATAAATGAAGAGATATTAAGTAAACCAACTAACAAAGAATCAAAACTAACACAAGAAACAAACTAGAAAAGTCAAATATCAGGCAAATGATATTATGTGTTCCCTAATGCCAGAAAGTTCTTTTTTTTTTCATTTTGTGTTTTATTATACAAAGTCTATTTTTTGCAGTGAAATAAAAATTGTGTGGCTTTCCTTCTTGTTTGCTTACAAGCTGTAAGCTCTAAGCATCTCAGCAGGCTTTAGTTGCAAAAACGAAAGGAGTAAATTCCCCCCCATATGGTTTTTGCATTATCCATATGAGGGTAATCAAACAAACCATCCAGGGAAATCAAAAGAATCAGCTGGAGACTTCTTTTTGCCACAAGTGAACAGACCAGCTCAAACAGTATGCTCCTATAAGATGACATTTTGCAGAGCTGGTTTTATTCTCCTGAAAATTAGAATCTTTTTATGAAAAAAAACCATATATTTAAAAGTATTAGGGCAGTTTATCTATAAATATACTATTTAAATGTAACTAAAATATTTTAAAGATATATTTTTTTACCAAATTTTCTCTACAACAGACCAAAGCTCACCAGCAAAATTCGAGTTCTTTATATACTTAGTGAATATTTTCCATTTTTCTAACCAACTGCAGGGACTGTTAACAAAAAATAATAAATTAAGTGATAATTCTAATACTAGTTTTCCACATAATTCTGAAATGAAAAATTTACTAGATAGTCAATATGGAAAAGTGGACACAGCAGAATAAAGGCTGATATCATCCAAAATGAAAGAGCACAGAGGAAAAACTTCAGTAAAAATGAACACACTTCAGTGGCTTCTGGGGAAACAGCAAACAGATGAAAATATAATTGTATTCCCCCAAAATGGAAGAAACAATAAGGTAAGATAACCTTTGAAGAGTTATTTCTGAAGTTCTGATAAACTTGGCAAAAAACCCACAAACTTGGAGAAGCAAAAAGACCAAAGACACACACACACACAAAAAAAAAAAATGAAGAAAAATGTACCTATACAAACCATTGTCAAAATGATAAAAGTGAAGCAAACAAACAAAAATTTGAAAGAAGTCAGGTAAGCATATTTCATTTAGCAGAAGAAATATGTCTACAATAGCAGACATTTTCAGAAGCAACAGAGGCTATAAAGCAATGGAATTATATACTTAATGTGCTTAAAAGAAAAAAAAAACCTGGTAAACCAAGATTCTGTATCTAATGAAAATATCCTTCAAAAATCAGTGGAAAAAAAAGTAAATAAAACTTCTTCAAATAAACAAAAGCTAAGAGAATTTGACACCAATTGACCAGCAGCATAAGACTGCTAAATAATTTTTTTCCAGAATGAAAGAAGATGGTATTAAATAAAAATGTGGATTTGTGGAAACAAAATACATGAGCTAAATAACTGAAGAAAAAATAGTTATATTTCATGCTCCAGTTTTTAGTAAACATACATGTAAAATTTGTGACAAGCATATCATGAATATCAGAAATAGTAAATGGAATTACACTATTCTAAGGTTCTTATATTTTATATGAAGTAGAGCTATCTTAAAGTCTATATAGATTCTGATGTATTAATAATGCATATTGTAGCCACTAGAGCAACTACTTAAAACAATCCAAAGAGATGTAGCTAAAAAAGTAATTAGAGGAATTAAAAGGGTATATGAAAAATATTTAATTAACACAAGGCAAGAAATCAAGAAGAGAATAATTAAATTAGATGGGACAAAAAGAAAATATATAGCACAATAAGAGCAATTAAACTGAATAATGTGAATAATTTCATTAAATACAAATGGACTAAGCATTCCAAACAAACATATAGAAGTGCACAGCACAATACATGTTGTCTACCAAAGAAAAACTTTATAATGCCATTGATAGGATTAAAGTAAATTGACGGAGAAAATATACATAGTCAAACAGTGTACATCGGAAGACCATTGTGCCTATACACTATTAATATTAGACAATGTACACCTCAAAAAGAGAGTGTTATCAAAAATAAAGAGGAATATCTTATAATGTTAAAAATATTACTCAGAAAGACATACACTTCTAAATGTGTCACAACCAAACTACATGAAGCAAAATCTGGTAAAAGTAAAAGAAAATGAGCAAATCCACTATCAAAACTGGAGTTTTTTTACTCATTTGGTAATAGATACTTCAACTCAAAAAGAACACACACAAAAAACACTAAGGATATAGAAGAATCAACCTAATAAATGTTTGTACATCAGTAACATAACAAATTCAAAATACTTTCTTTTCAGGGACACAGAAAATTCACCAACATAGACCACATTCTGGGTCTTAAAATATATCTCTACATATTTGAAAAGATTGAAAGCTTACAGAATGTGTTCTTTGACCACAACGAAATTAAATTTGAAAACATCACAACATTTTTTTTGGCCTATCTTTCTGTCCCTTTGTAATCAGAATTGATTTGATAAAGACAACGTTAGTTACTACAGGAGTCCTAAAATAAATTTTAAAACATTCAGACAGAGAAATGCCCTGCAAACATAAAAAAGACAAGGTTTTCTGGTGGTTTATCTCATTCTTATAAGAAGCACCTTACAAAAAGGGAAACTTCACAACACTAAGAACTTAAGCACACTATTGTTGCCCGTAAGGAACAAGCAGTTACTCTCCAAGCTATTTTCTGGTTGTCACAACAAACATGGAAAATAGACCCATTCAGCAAGGTTTCATAGACTCCTTCTGGCCAATAGCCTAAATGATACTTTTCTTATTTTCTTCAGTAGACACAATATTTGGAGGGCAGGGGAAGAGTGGGTAGTAGAAATGAAAAAACAGAAATATGAGTTTTACAATTTTTCCTTTCTGACGTTTAAATATTTGAACATTGACCAGTCTTACAGATTCATTTTTAATGTCCACCTATCTCAGCTATCAATTGCATGATCTAAAAAAAAGAGTAAGTTTACCAAAATTTTATTTACTTCTTAAATAATAAACAATATATTTTATTTTTGAACTGTCATTTATTTTGAACTTTGAATTTATTTTTGAATGACAAATCCATTCAAATGTTTAATCATGTTTCACAGACATCAATTCTACACAAATATTGCAAGTATGCCTTATATTTCTGATTGCTAAGATGGGCTTTGTATTAAAACATTGTGACACGAAGAAATTTCATATCTCCTTATTTTAAACACGTAGACACACTCCAAGGAGCTCCAAATCATGCTAAAACAGAGAACATAATCAAATTTGTGTCAATCAGATTTTCTGGCTGTATGGACATAATTACTATTATCTTACTGTTTTTCAATAAAGGAGGCCAGGGGCAGTGGCTCACGCCTGTAATCCCAGCACTTTGGGAGGCCGAGGCGGGCGGATCACCTTAGGTCGGTGGTTCGAGACCAGCCTGACCAACATGGAGAAACCCCATCTCTACTAAAAATACAAAATTAGCCAGGCGTGATGGCGCATGCCTGTAATCCCGGCTACTCGGGAGACTGAGACAGGAGAATCTCTTGAACCCAGGAGGCGGAGGTTGCGGTGAGATGAAATCGCACCATTGCACTCCAGCCTGGGCAACAAAAGTGAGACTCCATCTTAATAAATAAATTAATTAATTAAAATTAAAATAAAATAAAGGAAATAATATTTGTAATATTAATATATACCCTATGCATAGTAGTTTTATCTAAATGATTTTTTTATTGGTAGCTGAATTTTTTACAAAGCAAAATATGTTTGTTTTAATTTTCTAGTTATACATGCCTAAAAGATTGTGATTAAAACATTCTGTGCTTATTGGATGGAGACTTGGGAACTTGCTGCTGTATAGGCTCCAGAAAATTCAGGATTTTGCAAGGTTTGTAAAAGATAGCTATGGGAAGACTGTTTTTGGATTGCCCATTTGTCCCAATTCTGTACTGTGACTGTTCACTCAGGATTGTTTAATCTGTTTCTCTCTCTCCACATAAACACACACATATGTACACATTTAATATATTTAAAATTACCTTTTTCAAACTCAAATTCTTAAGAATAAATGAATACTCAGAAAGTAAATCCAGTGAATATGAAAAAAGAATACAAAAGACTGGGAAATTATTTTTAATTCAGTATCATTATAAGTTAAAAATTAATTACAATGAAAATGATCACTTTGGTATAATTAAGAAAAGTGACAATAAATATTGGAGAATGGGTATGAGTGCTAGACTTTTCATATACTTCTTGGGAATGATAAACTAACAGCTGTCTTGAGGATCACTTTGGTTAAATGTATAAAATATGTTCAAAATGTAGAATTTTTGTCATAGTATTGATATCTAATGAGAATTTATTCATAACAAATCATCACATGGACAAATAGCAATGAACTTATGTTTACAGGAATGTTAATTGTAATGCCATAAAATAGAAATTATATTAGTGCTCAGTAGTTTTTGTCTTTGTTTTAATAAATTCAGGTACATTTTATTTTTAATTTTTAAAGATTTTGAAGAGTTGGGGTCTCACCATGTTTCCCAGGCTGATCTCAAACTCCTGGCCTCAAACAATCTTCCTGCCTGGGCGGCCCAAAGTGCTGGGGTTACAGGCATGAGCCACCACACCCAGTCCAGGTACATTTTTAATGCAATACTATTAAATGAGATAGAGTTGTTAAAATGAAAATGCATTTATGAGATTTTATATTTTTATGATCTCATACATAAGCCACATGCGAACACATAAATAGGAGGAACATGGATCCTAGTTGGCCCTGGTTAGTCGTGCTTTATGCTTGTTTCACTAGCATAATTAAAAGCACTCTCAGGTTATTCTATTTTACAATATAAATTTGATGGCAAATCTATGTATAAAAAATACATAACACTTATTTTTAAATGGTACCATTACTCATGATTACTTTCTTTTCAACCTTTTTTGCATTTTATCTTTTTCCACAGTAAAATTTATTACTAGTATGAGAAGAATAATGCATTTGTTTTGCCATATAAACTCTTCCTGCTGTGAAATGTTAGTTCTCTGGGGTGAGTTCTCTCCTTTTTTCTTCTCTGTGAGGCATAGCCTAGTTTCACCCTTGTTAGATCAGCCTCCAAAGTAGAGAGGTTTGATGCAATTCAAAGTAAGTCAAAAAACTCATACAAAAACGTATCTGATCTTCTGGTAATTAATATCAGCCATAGATTGCCCACATTGAAAGAAGCTTAGAAAATATGTGATTTTATCTAAAATGAAAATTCAATTAAAGATTTGAAGATGACCTCAAAAAAAAAAAAACAAACAAAGTCAGTCACTGGATGGCAATAGGGAAACAAAGAAACCCTAAGTTCATAAATCTTTCCCCCTACTTGTGAGGCATCTTTTTATCTTAATTATAAGTTAAAAGAATGCGTATATGTGATTTAACATTGTAAATTTAACTTTTGGAGAGTGTGCTGATCGGCATATATTCTTATATGGGAAAAATAAAATAAAATTCTCCTAGTCCTCAGATATTTTTGTTTGTTTGACTTGTGTTTATTCTTGATCTATATATTGGCTTCCAGATATACCCAATTTCCTTAGTTTCTAATCTAGTTATTATGAGGTTGGGTTTTATGGATTCATGTTTAATATCACATTAGAAAACATTTACATGAGTTGAGGAAATACCAAATAAAAAGCAGGTGGTAAAAGTAAACAAGGAAAGTACTTTATGAATTTACACATCTCTTCTTTCATTCAAATATATATTTTTAAATGCCTAAATGTGGATATTTGTGATTTTTTTTTATTCTCTGGGGTTCAAAAGATGCAAGCAATAGAAGCTGTGCCTTCGTATGTCTCAAAATCCAATGGAGTACTTTAGGTCTCTATTATGGCATACATTATGTTCATGCAGGATTGCCTGGAGTATATTATGTATATGCAGGATGTAGAAACCGTACAACTTCTACTGAACATATTTATAGTAGATGAAATACTAGAAATAAGATAAGCTAGCTAACATCTCTTATCCTGTAAGAAATTTAATTCAATAGAAATCTAAACTTCACCAAAGTGAAAGAAGGGGCTTAAAAGAAAATGTTTCTTTTCTAAAAATAAAATGTTCCCTGGTATTAATTATTTCAAGGCCCAACATACATAATTCAGCAAAAGTTAATGACATCTAGTAATAAACACAATTTTGTGAGGGGTTGCTATATATTTTCTACCTTTCCATGTATTCTTGTATTGAGTTTGTAGGCAATTCCAAAGCCCCTTGTATATTTCAGCACTGAGAGTGAAAAATAACTGAATCAAAGAAGTCAAGTTAAATTTCCTTGTGAAGCCACTAGAGAAAATTACTGTGAATCATTTTTCAAATTTCAAATAAAAATATAACCAATGAGTTGAATTAAAAATTGCTGACATATAACTAGTCTCTCTCCTATTGGCTAGGCTATAGTAACTATGTTCCATGTTTTCTCATTATCTTGATATGGCTCTTATTATTTTATAAAATATGTGATTTTTTGAAAATGAAATATCAGCTACTCATCAGGTTCTGATAATATATGTAATAACATAGTTTCTAGCTGAAATCCATCCAATCATTCCTGATAGCTGCAGCATATTCTGCAACTTTCTGCTGAATACAATACTATATTTAATAGTAACACCACGTCTTGTAAATTTATAAGATAAAATAAAAAATAAAAAAACTTTACACAGGATGTAGGCTATTTCTCTTTCACTTTGCTTTTGTTTTCAGCATAAATATAACTAAACATTTAAAATTTTCAATTAAAGGCTATCAGTGAGGTTATCTTAATTGAATGTAAAATTTGTTGGTTTAAATTTGTTGAAAGGAAAAACTATTAAAATTTTAACTCTATAATTGTATATCAATTCAGTATAGTGATAATACTAACTTTTTTCACCACTGATCTGATTGCTATTGTTGTATAACAGAAACACTCCAAAACTTCTGTCACTTTTGTTTCCTCTTTGTTATGTCTAGAGCTTCAGGTGGGATTATACGAAATCTGAAACCATCTAGGCTGGAATAACTTAAAGATTCAACTCAGCTAGAATTCTCCATCAGAACCTTTATACAAAACTTTTCCTTGTGGCTTGAAACCCTCAGAAGATGTTAGTCTTAAGATAGTCAAACATCTTACAGCTAGGGCTACAGCGTGAACCCAAGATGAGGCAGGAGCTATATGGCTTTTTATTACTTAGCCTTGGAAGTCTTGTAACTTCTATTACTCTCTATTGCTTGCAACAGTTATAGTGCACCCACACACAAGGGCAGGAGACACAGACACTGCCTCTCAATGATAGGTCAGTATATTTGCAGGTAATTGTTTAAAAAGCCACAATTTTAAAATAATTATTTCCTTTAGATTTTGCAGCCACATACTGAGGAAAAATTGTCAGAATTAGTAGAATAGGTAAAACTGATAAGGAATTTCAGAGATTGTAAAATTCAACCTACCGTATTTACATGTGGGAAAGCTAAAGACAAGAGAAAGAACATTACTCACCTTTGGGTCTAGATAGATAGATACATACATACATACATATGTATTAACTGTTAATAACAATTAAATGTTAATAACATTAACTGTTATTTATTTTATTTTATAATTTTATTAACAATAAAATTAACTGTTAATAACAATTAAACAGTTAATTTTAGGTGTCAACTTGGCTGGATTAAGGGATACCCAGATATCTGGTAAAGCATTATTTCTGGGTATGTCTGTGAGGGTGTTTCTGAGACAGGTTGGCATTTGAATCAGCAGACTGAGGAAGGAAGATTCACCCTAACCAATGTGGGTGGCCACCACCCAATTTGGGTCCAAACAGAACAAAAAAGCAGAGTGAAGGCAAATTTGTTCTGTCATTTTCTGGGATTCAGATATCTTTTTTCTGCCCTTGGACATTAGAACTATAGGTTTCTCAACCTTTGGACTCTAGGAATTGCACTAGTGGCTCTCATATTCTCAGGCCTTCAGGCTCAAACTAAGGGTTATATCATTGGTTTTCCCAGTTCTGAGGCCTTTGGAAATGAATTGAGCCATGTTACCAGCTTCCCTGGCTCTCCAGTTTGCATATAGCCTATCAGGGAACTTGTCAGTCTCCATAATTGTATGAACCAATTCCCCTAATAAATCCCTCTCATATCTATCTATGTGTGTATATATGTGTTATACACTGGGTATAGGTATATATGAATCATGATACACATGATCCATCATATATATATCCATATTTACATATATATGAAACTATACACTTGACATTAGAACAAGGCATGTTTAAAATACACATCCGCTCATACATAAATTTTCTTACCTCTGAGATAGTAAGACCAACCCCTCCTCTTCCACCTCCTCCTCAGCCTACTCAATATGAAGATGAGGAGGATGAAGACTTTTATGATAATACGCTTCCACTTAATTAATACTAAATACATTTTTTCTTTGTTGAGATTTTTTAACAGCATTTTCCTTTTTCATTTTTTTACTTCATTCTAAGAATACAGTGTGTAATACATATAGCACACAAAATGTATGCTAATCAACTGTTTATGTTATAGATAATGCTTCTGGTAAACAGTTGGCTATCAGTAGTTAAGTTTTTGAGGACTCAAAAGTCATGCATTGATTTTTGACTGTGTGGGGGGTTCCGCATCCCTACCCCTGTGTTGCTCAAGGGTCAGTTGTATATAAATCCTACTTCTGTTGTTTCTCCAGGGAATCACGACTAATAAAGATGGATGGATGGGTGAATAGACAGATGAATAGATAGATAGATAGATAGATAGATAGATAGATAGATAGATATGTAGACAGATGATAGATAAGTTGGTAGAGCAAAGACTATAAACTAAATCTCCTAATATTTTGGGAGCTATATATTATTTGGATTTCACAGATTACATCCTTAATAATGTTATTTCCAGTATCTGAACTGCCTTGAGTGAGGAAGCTGATCACATAATTGGCAAAATAGTGATGTCTTTCCTTGTACCAAGCTCATTTTATCAAATCACTTAGTCAGCATTCCTATAGATAATAACAATGTACTTATTTATTATTCATAAGGCCTTTGTGTTTCTTTTTAACAATTAAGGATACTTTAGTTCTTTAACATCATTTGTGCATCCAGCCCAGGTGGAATAATAGGAACCAAATATACTGTCCCACATAAACAAATAATCAGAAAGATTAAAGTTATAATCTGTGGTATTCAAGTTCTACACAGGGTTTCCACTCAAGTTTTCATCACAGTGGTGCTCAGAACATGAGTAGTTAAGAGGGAACTACCCATGGCTTGGGAAGAAACCATCCAAAAGGATTAGAGGAAAAGTACTTGGAATTTGCACAGGGCCAGGAACAGTGTCTGTTCTCACCAACCACACTGGAAACCTAATAATTCAAGGGGCATTGAGAGGAGTACACAGATTAGTCTTATCTCTTAGTGGTGAATAATTAGCCCTAGATTAATCACTGTTGTCCTCTATAACAAATCTTAAAAGCCAGACTAAGAATAATCAAAGGTTTGCAAGTAACTTTACTGCATATCAAAACAAAGCTTCCGAGTATAGAAATCCAAAATTGTCTGTTACACACACATAAAAGTCAAAACATGCAATCAATTACTAGGCATTTAAAGCTGCAGGAAAATGGACCTATAATGAGAAGAAAAGCCAACTAATTAAACTCAACTCTTAACTGACACAGATGTACATATGTTAGGATTAACAGGCAAGAATATTAAAATGTGTCACATTGCATTTCATGTGTTTAAAAGTTAAGTAGAGCTATATAAGATAGCAAAAAATGATTCAAATTGGAATTTTCAACACAGTGGCTATAATATCTGAGGTGAAAAATACACTGGATGTGGTTAAAGACAGATTCAATAATGTAGAGGAAAACACTAGTGAACTTGAACTAAAAGAAATGGATGGTTGTTACTGATTATTAATTATATTTTCTCTATTGTGAAATTAAAAATAAAAATATAAGATGGCTACAGCACCACAGAAGAAATGAGTCTTGCTCTGAAACATAAAGTAGAAGAAAGCCACAACATTCATACACACAATATAAATATATATTGTTTACAACCATTAAAATACTGAAGTTTCTTATTTCCAAAAGTTACAAGCATCCAAACTAACATAAGAACAATATTCATAATAATCTTTGAAATTGTTGGCATTATTTTGAAAAATTCATATGAATTTAGGCAATTTATTTTGCAATTTTTACAGAGAAATATTAAATTATGCAATACATTTTATTTTAAATTTATGATTGCAGATAATGCTTCAATTAAAACACGAGAGCTACCAGAACCTGTGTCAGAGATCAACCATATTAGTGAAAGACAAGATGATATACTCTAATTTTCTATAGTTTTAAAATTTTGATTAGGAATACAAACAGATGTATAAAAGCATACTGAAAATGTATTGTATTAGAGCAAAAAATTCTAGCAGCAAACTGTGATCTTGCATACATTTTCTTAATGTCTCTAACCCAATTTTTTTCATCTGTACAATGAGGAGATTGTGTATACACATGTATAAATAAAATAAGAAAGGTATTTCATGCTAATAGCCATGTGATTTAAATGCAACCAAAATCTTAAATAATTTGGAGGTTGGAAACGAGTAGTAATGTTCATTTGTTCATTCAGTTTATTTGATTGATTTTTTATTTTAATAAATGAATACTGTATACTAAGCACTGTGATGTTTGTTAGGAAGCAATAAAGAAGATGGTCATCTCTGTATCTACATAGTTGGTGACAAAGTAGAGCTAATTACAACACAATGAATGCAGGCACAGGATGCTAGAATAGCAGCATCTAGCATGGGCAATTATGTATCATGAGCTACGATTAGTCAGCCTTGGAGACAAAAATGTAGAACTATAGAAACAAAAATTGTTTCCATCCATATAAATACCATCTAGGGTAAGTTGAGCATAAGTCAACGGAATTTGAGTATCTCAAGCCATCTTTTAGAAATGGAATTGGAGTAGAGTTTGGAGAAAAGATAACCAGCTTGAAGAAGTAGGTAATGAAAATATGTGAAACATTAAGCACAGATAACTTATACAAAAGGCCTGAAATGTGATTATATTGTGTTGAGCAACAGAAAATTATTTAGTATAATTAAGGCTTATAGATAAAATGGCAGTGGAAGCTGAATAGAGCTCATAATAGGCTTTTGTGTTGATTCCTGGTCTAGGGTAAAATGTGGACCTTTTCTTTGTAACCTGCAATTCTGCTGTTCATGCGTATCATTTAATCTTGTTGTGGCATCATTACTTTGAGAAAATTTGGCTATTTATATTGTGATCCACTAAAATCCACAGGTCATGATGAGCACAGACGATGATTATTTATTTTCCCAAAGTTTTAGACTCCCAGTGAATGAGTGAATCTGAAAAGCAGTTTCTGTTTCTCACTTTGGTGAAATAGAATTCACATAAATATTTTATGACTTAATATTAGGGAACAAAAATTTCAACAAGAGTGTACATGTAAGTAACTGGATACACTTTATATATATTATTCTCTAAATAATATTGTGACCAATCCATTTTTTAAATTCCAAAATAATATAAAATGTAAACAAGAAAAATTAATATAAGATTTTTCCTTCACTTCTCATCTTTATTCCACACCAAGATACCCTAAGCAGGTGGAAATTTATCTGTTAAATCTGTCTCTAAAATTATATTCCATCCTGATTTCATCTTTGAATCTGTTATCAGCACTTTGGAATTTCAATGGTGCTTCTCTCTAGACTTTGGATAAAGATTGTATTATAAAAGCTGCAAAATAATTATGCTGTGAACAAAAGTTGATATAGGAAAATTATCTTACAGAAAGATAACGATGGCAGCGACTGGCCATCAGGAGTGGCTGCTGCCACCACGTCGGCTGCAGTGGAGAGATGTGAGTGATGGTGACAGGAGCAGCAATGGCAGCATGGGGTCCCCTGTACCCTGCATCCCCAAGGCAGCTGACTGCACCACCCCCACCCTCACAGAGCTGGGTGGAAATGTGGGACCTGCCCCCAGGCCCAGAGCCTCCTCACTCTTGCCTGCCACAGCTGTGGGGAGGGCATGGGGAGGAGGAAGAGCTGGGCTTATGGGCTCCATGAAGTCATTGAGACCCAGAGACAAGCAACCACCCCCATAAAGCCCATTGCCCTGGGGACCGACATGAGGACGCCAGGGGGAGCAGCACAGTTGGGCATGGAAGGATGGGTGGAGAGGAGCCAAGCAAAGACCTGGAGTCCCCAACCCAGGCTGCCAGGAGGCATGGGGAGGGCTGCCTGCGTGCTCCATGGAGTAGGAGGGAGTCTTGCCCTTCCAAGCACAGGACCCTCCTAGGCCCAGAACCTCTCTGCTCTCTGCACCCCTGGGAGCCTGGGAAGGCTCCCCTACCCCTGCAGACTTGTGGTTGTCTGCTCCCGCTACCTGGCCTCTCCTCACTCCCAGTGCCTGCTTTGATCTTGGAGCCAGGTTGGGGCCAAGCCAAGGTGCTGTCATAGCCTGGATGCGTTTGTGCATGCTTGGGGGAGTGCTGACACACCAGACCCCTGCCACCTCAGTCCCCTCTGGATGTTGGGCAACAATGAGCATGGGGAGTAGGGGCAAAAGGGGGCTCAGTGCAATCCTGCAGGTGCCCATTGGCACAAGCAGCCTGCACAAAATGGATGGTGGCAGGAGGCAGACAGGCTCCTCGGAGGAAGGGTGCAGGTCCCTGGTGAGGCCTCACCTTCAAGCCAAGGAGGGCCTGAAGGCTGGGCCTGGGCTGCCCATCCGGCCGACTGCAGTGAGAACTTACGGTGCCTTTTCCAGGCCTGCCCATGGCTGCTCACGTATCCATAGATGTGCACATCCTCCTCTGTGATGCCCATAAAAGCCCAGGGCTCAGCCAGACAATCAGATGACCAGCAGCAGAGAGGAGCTACCCTCTCTGCTTGGAGCTAAACACTTGCTGGGACACCCTAGCTGCAGAAAGGAGCTACCTCCTGCAGGTCCCGTCTCTTCAGTTCTATCACTCAATAAAGCTCCTCTTCCTCTTGCTCACCCTCCACTTGTCTGTGTACTTCCTTCTTCCCGGTCGCAGGACAAGAACTTGGGACCCCCGCAAATGGCAAAGCTAAAAGAGCTGTAACATAAACAGGGCTGAGACACACCCCTTGCTCACCACACTGTGGGCAAAGAGGAGAGAAGAGCTGCAGCTCTTCAGGGAGCCCAGACCCGGGAACTCCCCAAGACAGAGCTGTGACTTGCTCATTGGATCCCTGTGACTCTTGGTGTCTCCAAGCTTCTGGGCACCACTGTGTTCCCCAGTGCTAGCTGTGGAAGCTGCTTGTGGTGCACGTTGTCCAAGTGAGCCTTGCAGACAGCTGGCACACATGTTGGTGCCTGGAGCTGTCCACCCCACTGCAGCTGCTGCATAGAGGTTTCGAGCAAGAAAAGCAACACCTCAAAGATCTCGTAACAATAATACCTAATTTAACCTAATAGACTGTATTAACATATTGGAAAGTAATGTATCATGCACAAAGATTAGTCAACCTTGGAGATAAATATATAGCTTTATAAACAAAAACTGTTAACATCTACACAAATATTATCTAGGGTAAGTGGACCACAAGTCAACAGAATTCTAGTATGTGAGTCCATACTGACATACTAGAGAAATGAATATATATGAGTGTGTCATTAAAATGTTGACACATTTAACCCCTCTTGTCTAATTCCAAAAATTAGAAGCAAACAATCTGCTAATTTTAAATTAATTATAAAGATCTGCCTACAGAGAGAGAAAGATCTCATAAAGATATGCCTACAGAGGTAGAAGGATTTGATTGTAAAGAAAAGGATACTTACTTCTCAGTTTTGTTGATCTGGCTACATTCTTGTTACCATCTCTAGCCTTTATAAGCAAGAGAATATAATGATACATTAAAAAACTTGAAGGAGAGATCATAGGACATTCTAAATAGAAATTTGGCTGTGCAAATATAAAAATTTTATGTGCTAGTAAATGCCACACTGCTACCAATATTCTTTGATTATTATTTTGGCCTGCACAAATTGTTGTATAGACATTCACAGACATTTATATAAAATGATTTATAATACTGTTTACAAAAGCAAAATAAAATTTTAAGTCTAAATGTCTATTTAAATGAGACTTGTCAAATCATTGCACTATGCCAGGCACAGTGGCATACAACTGTCAGCTACTTGGGAGACTGAGGCAGGAGAATGGGTTGAGGCCAGGAGTTTGAGGCTGCAGTGCAATATAATCAAGCCTGTGAATACCCACTGCACTCCAGCTGGGAAACATAGTGAGACTGTCTCAAAAATAAATACATAAATAATAGTATAAAAAAGAAAAAGAAAAAAATTACAGTCTATGAAATAAGATATTTTAAAAATAAGGTGCATCTAAAGAGAAAGATATGGACATGGGAAAGATACAGACATAGAAAAGCATGTATGAGTAAAAATTCATATTGTTAAATAATATATTTATGATATGTAAAAGAAAGATATTGGCCTAAAAATATACATATATATATATATGTCTTAATAGAAACACATATGATATAAAATAATTATGATAATGAATATTCACTATTTTTTGTATTCATCTATAAAATAATACCATTGCTAAAAAAAACTCTTACCTTTGTTGTAAAATTTAATTCAAAATATTCTTCACTTGCCATGGGAACTTTTCTCAAATTTATTAAAAAATCATAATTTTTTAAATCCTAATCAAGCCTAAAGAATGTTCCGTTTGAAAAGAATCATGAAAGAAAAACAATAATATATATGTCTTTTTTACAGTTTTTCACAATGACAATGATTTCCTTTTGCCATTCACCTGTACTCCAGTCAACTTACTATTAATGCAAGTTGATATATAAAATCTGAGGTATTTAGAAGACTCAAACTCTATCAGTGTAGGCTATAAAGTGAAACTAATCAACTTTCAAAAAGTTGAAGTTTTTTGTCCAATAACTACAATCAACATAAAATAATGTCCTCATTCTTAGTGTTCAATGTCAAATAGCACCTGTCCTGAAATTTCACGTCTTCTATGTATTTTATTAGGTTGGTACTAAAGTAATTGTGATTTTTGCTATTACTTTTAATGGGAAAAACCACAATTACTCTTGCACCAACTTAATAAAAGCATTAACCTCCCAGTATAAATACTTTCTTTATTCTAATTACTTTTCTTCAACATTCCATAGAGTTATGAAGAGAATACACTGATATCAATTATTAAACTTCATATAATTGTGCTGAATATTTCATTATAATTATAATAAACTCAACATTTTCTAAATGTTAAAGCTATAATGGAAAGTTTAATTACCATATTTAAAATTGGACACATTGCTTCTTCATCTCCCAACATGATAATTAAATTTATTAGAGTATTTATCCAATAATGTGTTTTTTTGCTTAAACCCATAAAATTTTATTTAGCATATTAAATAATAAGATTATGCATTTCAAATAGTTGTTCAAGTGTTGTTGAACCTGGAAACAAACTAAAAACATTTTTAATAGATTTTTTATGAATTTAAATGATAGATTTTTTTCTGGACAATTTCATAGGTTTTCAAACATGCCTGTACTTGAGTATCTTCATGACATGATATTTACATAAATAAGAGTGGTCCCAGTGCTCTTCAAAGTATAAATAGAAATTTTCTAAATTAATAAACCTTACTAAGAGCCAATTTTGCATTTTTGGAATGGTTTGAATATTACAAAGAGCTTGAAAATGGTAAAAGCAATGCCATTATATTTAATAATATTTTAATAATATAACAATAAATTTATAAATTTTATGATGACTAGATGCTGTTCCATTTCAAGTTTGTTCTGATATTTTTGAGGAGGCACCAGAAAGTCATGGTGACACCAGAAAGTACATGAAATTAGGAAATACATTAATTTTATAATTAATATTAAATATATGAAATTAGGAAATGTAATTAGAAAATATATGAACAATATAATTAATTAGAATAATTATTTTTTGATGGCCTGTTATCCTATCATTTATATACATGTACTTTCTTCTCTTACAAACATTCTATGTCTTGGCTTGTTTTCTCCCTCTCTGTGGTTTGTGATTTGGAGAACTTACATTTTCTGAATCATTGTTTGTGAAAAAATTTATCTGTTTTATAAATACAGGTTGTACTACTTAATTCACAAAGAACTTTATCATATGCTTTTCACAACTCTTCAGCAGACTTGAAGATATTTAATGGAAATATCTAAGTTTATTAAAGCTATAGTCCCTTCCTCTATATACATTATATTGCACTCTGTTGAAACAATGAGTCAATAAATATAAATACATAATTAAATTATATAAATCTTCATTTTCTCAAGGTACCTACTAGGACAAAAAGTCTAAAGTGACAAAGTCAACTGCCCAAATTGGAGGATCATGGAAAACAAGGTATAAAACAAAGAATTAAAAATTTAAGAAGACTGTGCTTGGTTATATTAAAATAATAAAAATGAAATAATTACTGCATTTATTTGCTGCTTATTAGAATGAATGTGCTAGGATATTTTAAAAACTTTGTTAATTTTATTTCTTGAGCAATTATATGATAGATACTAGTTTTCTCATTTTACAAATCAGCCCCAGAAGAGTTAGATGACAATACCAAGTTTTAACTACCACCAGTAAGAGATGCAACTGAGATTCTAATCCTGAAAATTTTACTGTAAAGATAAAATTGCTTAAATGAAAATAAATTTATTTTTCTGGGCCGAGGACGGTAGCTCACACCTGTAATCCTGGCTACGTGGGAGGCTGAGGCAGGAGAATTACTTGAACCTCAGAGACTGCAGGTTGCAGTGAGCCAAGATTGCACCACTGCACTCCAGCCTGGAATCTGTCTCAAAAACAAATATATATATTTTGCTTAATATTGTATTATTTTTGGATTTACTTTACATTTAGATGATTTGAAGATGTATATATAAAGTGTATATATATATATATATATATATATGTCCTTTTCTAATAATTAGGTGATTCAAACACATATTCTGAAAAAATATGGTTATTATTAAATGTTTTAATAAGTAGTATTTTAAAAATAGAAATTATTTTAGAATTACTACTGTTCTTTGCATTTTTAACAGTCTGCCTACAAATGTTCTTTTTTTTTCTTTTTTCTTTTTTGTTTTTGAGACAAGGGCTTTCTCTGTAGCCCAGGCAGTGGGCACAATCTCAGCCCACTGCAACCTCCGCCTCCCGGGTTCAAGCGATTCTCCTGCCTCAGCCTCCCTAGCAGCTGGGATTACAGGCACCTGCCACCGCACCTGGCTAAGTTTTATATTTTTAGTAGAGACGGGGTGTCACCATGTTGGCCAAGCTGGTCTTGAACTCCTGACTTCGGGTGATCCACCCACCTCAGCCTCCCAAAGTGGTGGGATTACGGGCTTGAGCCACCATGCCTGGCCTATGCCTACAAATTTTAAAAGGTAGTTCATTTTTGTTTTAGAAAACGTTTTTCAAAAACAAATTTATAGAGGCATGCACACACATTGCTTCTTGTTCTTTTCACTAAAATAAAATATAATAAACTGTACATATTTTACATGTATAATATGATACATTTTCACATATCATCACAATCAAAATAATAAATACATTAATCACTTCCAAAAGATTGCTTCTGCCTCATAGCAATTTCTCCACACTGGTCCTGACTGACCTATCCCACAGTTCTCAGGCAACCACTAGTTTACTTTCTCTTTTGGTTTTTATAGATTGTTCATATGTTCTAGAATTTTATATGAATGGAATCATTTAGTATGCACTCTGTTATTGTCTGGCTTCTTTCACTAAGATTACTGATTTTGGGATTCATTTATAATGTATGTGTATCAATACTTTATTACTGTTATTTCTGGATAGGGTTTCATTATATGGTGTGTACACCCAATCTCATGTTGAAATTTAACTGCCACTGTAATGGTATTCAGAGGTGTTTTATAGCTAATATTTTGAAACTTGCAAAATGTTTTTCAACATGGCAAGATTTTTAACAACATATGTTATGGTTAGTCTTTCTAATGGCAGCTATTATAACCGGTGGGTAGTGGTGTGTCACTGTGACCTTCATTTTCATTTTTGTAATGACTATGATGCTGAGCATCTTTTCATGTGCTTATTTTCCATTTTCTGAGCTCTTGGCCTTCATAGAATCAAACATGCCTAAGAAAAGTGCTGACATTAAAATATTATATTAATGCTCTCAGGTATCCCCAGACACCATGAGATTAAGAAGGAGCTAAATAGATGCTTGGAAACTTTGTTGTCCTTAAGACTGTGAAGATCAATGATATCTGAGGGCCAGGGCAATTGCTTCATGTGTCACAGCTGCAGAATGGAAATGTGCTTAAATTTCACTACCAAGTAATTATACCTACTGCTGAAGAGGTGAGATACAAAAATATTTTTAGTGATATGTTATTTTCAGATAGCAAAAGTAAAAAAAATAAGCCCTTATTAACATGCATTAGTGAACATAGTATAATAGCATAAATATCAATAATATTAGACATACGTTATGTAACTATAAAGTGAGCTTAAATAAAATTATACAATTCTAAATAATTGGGTTATCAATATGGACTATCTTGAGAGATATACTATTATGCAAAAGAAAAGTGCTGAACTTAAAAATATTTATCTCATTATAAATTTGTATTCAATTATATGTGTACACATGTGTAGGGGCCAAGAGAAACTTCCCCTTTGCCCTCTGAAGGTTTGCTGAAAAACCAACTGACAAAAGTCAGATTAATAAGAGAAAAAGCATACAAATATATTAGTGTGCATGGGGTAAGAATCATAGAGTGATTACAGCAACCCCTCAATGGGATACCGAAGCTTATATACCATCCTGATATTACAGAAAGAATGGGGATTCAGAGCATGACTCAAAACAGGCTATGGTGGTGAATCGGGCAAGACAGTTTATAGGAGGGAGAGAAGAGGAGGCCTAGCTAGGAAAGGAAGTTTTGGAATGTAGATGAAATTTTGCAGGCAGCAGCCCTCAGAAAAAACAGGTGTTAAGTATTTTTTTCAGACCTTTAAAGATATGAGACTCTCAGACAATAATCCCCACATCTGGACAAGGGAGGGCCTTAGGAAAAGCCTGGCTGTATCAATACAGATTTACTCTATGCCTGCAAATATGCCCCACAAACAAAGATTTTTCAGTTATTTTTTATCTTCTGCCCTTCTTAATAGGAATCTTGAAATCTGCCAAAAAGTATATTTTGGGGTGAAATATTTTGGTTTCCTGCATATTCATAAATAAATTTCAAAGTAAACAGTGACTATCTCAATTCATCTCAAGCCAGAGAGTGCTAGAAACCCATTATCTACCCTTCTGATATGATTGCTGAGCACTAAAGTATGGAGGGAAATATCACATAAGCAGAAATATTTTATTAAATTGATTAAAAACAGCTTTCTTCAATTCATTTTGAGATCAATAGTTTTTTCTTGTATCTCTGAAAACAATTGCAAAATCATTTTTTTAAGAAAGCTTTGACTTGAATGTATTTTATCAATACGTCTGCAAACATTAAACTAGCAAATGGAGTTTAAATACGTGACTTCATTATATAGTTACTAATAATTTTTTGAAAAAAATCACTGTCATACTTGCATCAATATTTTTAATTTTTACTAATAATGTGGAGTTTAGCTCAAATCTACTTTTAAATTTGCAAATGTTTAAAATAGATGTCTTTTCTTCCTTTAATTCTATACATTTGGATTAACTAAAGTAATCTAATACACATTAGCCTAATGAAAGAGAAGTACTGAATCAAACCACATTTACTTCAGTTCACTTATGTAGAGGCTCATTCATTTGTAAAATCTAATGAAACTCTGTTAGAATAAAAGAGAGATAAAGAGGCTGTAAAAAATGTGAGGAAATCTGAATTAATTTTTGAGACAATAAGAAAAAATTTTAAGAAAGCACATGCTTTCTGTCAGAAAACTTTCTATCAATTAATTCTGCTAAATTCAATGCTTATTATTTCATAAAATTGAGTTCCATGCTTAATCAGTATGGTTGAATATGTTAAGGAAACAATGTTTCATTGTTATTAAAATTTGGAAGTACTTACCTTCATCTATGCTTATGCTTAGAAAGTGGAAGTTTGTAGATTACTGTTCATTAATTGAAACTGGGAACAGCAGAAATCCTGCCACACAGTGGCTTTGTCCAAACATCTGCACTAAGGGATGAGCAAACTGGAGCATGGCTTCTAGCAGCATATGGCTGTGTCTCTAGGATGAACCTTGTCTCCCCATTAAAATACTTGCCTGAGAAAGCTCAATGTTGTGGGAGAATTTACTGCTTGTTCTAGCGAACACCTGACAGAGTCCCCTTACCTCACTTTCTTAGAGCATTTACTAAAAAGAGTTTACAATTATGAATTCTTCTTTCACCTCTTTGAGATGTATGTGCATCTCCTACAACTCAGGAGTGTCTTTCTCAAGGACCTGAAAGCCATACCTTTGAAATACAATCATGACGAAGGGCAGGGCCTCTGTCTCCTCGTCTGACTTCGTGGAAGGATAACTTCCATAATTGCCAGCCACCAGACACAGGTGGCCTAATCACACTTACACTGAACAATCCTTTATAATTTCCCATTTCTCTGATTTTGCTGAGCCTCTGCTCACACACCTCCCTCACTCTTTCTTAAATTATACAATGACCTCTGCATACATTGCAATGGAGCTCAGTTATTTCCCCTATTGTCAGTAGTTACTTGACTAAAATCTATTTTCACTGCTTAATGTCTATCTGTGTCTTTCTTTGACAAAACAGATTTTAATTAATCATTCACCTGGAAACCCATGAACAACTCCAGATCACTTAACCCAAATGTTACTGTAATTTAACCTTTTAAAAATTTTCAACTACTTAAAAATATGAATGTGAAGGGGAAAAAAATCACAAGATTTAATTATGTGATAATTTCACAAATCTGGGTGATTTTAACTGGTTATTTGAGATTTTGAGTCTAATTCACTCTTATACCACTAGGAAAAAAAGTAATATATATATACACGCACACATTTATGTATAAAATTCTCTCTCTCTCTCTATGTGTGTGTGTGTGTATATATATATATATATGCCTTTGAAATATATGTGTATATATAAATACACACATATATATACATACATATATAGAGAGAGAGAGAGAGACAGAAAGAGAAAGAGAATGAGAGAGAGACAGAGAGATCTTTCAGTTCTGGAAAATATTGATAACAATTTACAAATTCCAAATGTGGTTGGGTATAGATACAAATTTTGAAAGATATGCATTTAACAAACCAATAACAAATCTATAAATAAAAGTTTGGTTGAAAATTTAGTAACATAAAATCATCTAGTAATTCTCTAATTCTCTCTTCTTTTGCTCTCAGTGTTAAATTTGTATAGGAATGCGGCAAAATAATATTTTATAAAATTTGGTAATTATGTGAGCCAGAAAACCATTCCAGAGTCACTTTTCTTACAAAACTCAATTGCCTATATAACTAAACACATATGCACAACTTGTTTTACATATTTAGGGTATTGTTTATTCTTAAAAACAGAAGATCATACACATGCTTTTCCCTGACACTTGATTTATGTACATAAAAATGTGCATCTGGTACATATCTCCAAGTAAATAAAAATGTATATGATTTAATCTTTTTAATTTGCATATGAATTCAACATATGGAAATTTCACAATAATTTTAGTCATTCTCTTTTATATGGACATCAAGATTATCACCTACAAATATGGTGAAAAGAAGCATGCTCATTTTTGTATTTTACTATGTGAGCTTTTACTTCTGTAGAATGCACAGCCAAAAAATAAAAGTCCTGAGTCTAACATTATTAGCATTTTAAGTATAATTGGTTTTGCTAGATAGCCTGCCAACAATATCGGGCAATTCATTTTTGCAACAGCAATGAAAGTCCTCTCCACCATCCCTTTAATGCTGAAGGCTATTTCACTGTAATATTTATTATTCTTAATGATTAACAGTGGCAACTTTTTGTTGCTAATATTTATCTCCACCAAATATTCTACTTGCCTATGCTCTTTTAACCCATGCTTTTGCCCACTTTTCACAGTGGACCTGTGGAGGGTCTTTATTTCCCTAATTCAATCCCCCAATTCAAATCTATCTATCTATCTATCTAACATAATATTAAATATTATATAATAAATGATATAATATATAATATAATATATTATATATAATAATATATATTATATATAATATAAAATATATCATATATTTATATATAATATAATATATAATAAATATATTATATATTATATATCATATAATAAATATATTATATGTTATATATATAACATATTATATTATAATATATATAATATATTTAAAGTATGGGCAGCACAAGATAGAATAGATCTCTGCAGCAATTGTCTCCCTACAGAAACAATGTTTACAACTATGCATGAACAAAACAACTCCACAAGAGCTAAGAAAACCAGATATGAAATAACAGTATCTGGTTGTATCACAATAGTAAGAAAAGATACATTGAACAATGTAGAAAGAGCACTTTTACATTACCTATGTAACCCCGCTCTAAACCCGGGCAGCACAGCACGCACAAAAAATAATATCTGCTTAGGTTAAAGAAAGAGGAGTCAGTATGAGACTTTTCCTTGGACCGCAACAGTGGGCCTATTCCAACAGTGGGCCTATTCCAGTAAAATCCAGCATCAGGCAGGCCCCTGTGGGCCGAGACTTCAGGCTAGTACCCATTAACTGAGACTCCAGATATACCTTGGCACCAGACAGGATCATGCAGCCACTGGCTCCAGATTTGTGTGACAAACTAAATTCCAGATTGCACTGCTGCCAGGTTTATGTCAAGGGCCCCGGAGTTTGTACAGCCCTCAACTACAGGCATGCCTCAGTAGCTCTGGGCTTTAGACATACTCCAGCATCCGATACACACTGGTGTATCCCAGCACCATGCACACTGCAGTAGACCCTAACTCAGGGATCATGTAGGCAGTCTGCTCAGAATTCCTGGACTGTCTGACTGTTGAAGGGGTTTCCCAGACAAAGGTAGTCTGCACAAACTAGAATAAAGATCCACTTTATTTCTTCAAATGCACAGACATCAATGTATGGTTATAGTAATCAAGAACAATAGGAGAAGCACAACATTTACAAAGGGACAGATAAAGTTCCAGGTATTGCCCCTGAATAAATGGAGATGTATGACTTGCCTAACAAATATTTCAAAATAACTGTTTTAGGGAACTAAGCAAACTTCAAGAAAGTACAGATAAGCAATTCAACTAAATGAGAAAAACAATAAATAATCAGGAGAAAGGAAATGAAGTAGACAGGTTGAAATAATAATTAAAAAGTCAGACAGAAATTCTGACTTTGTACAAAATGAATGTAATTAAAAATGCAATAGAGAAAATCAACAGCAGAATTGATCAAGCAAAGAAAAATAATCTGTGACCTTGAAGACTGGCTGTTTGAAAACATACAGTGAGAGACAACAAGAAAAAATTAAAAATATGGAATGATGAAAACTTAGGGAATATATGGAGCAACATCGAAAGGGCAAATACTTGAGTCATGGGAATTAAAGAAAGAGAAGAGAAAGATAAAAAAGTAGAAAGTTTATTTAAACAAATTATAGCAAAAACACTTTCCAAACCTTGAGAAAGATGCAAATATTCAGGTAAAGGAAGGTCAAAGTTTACCAATTGATATGGTTTGGATTTGTGTTTCTGCCCAAATCTCATGTCAAATGTAATCCCCAATGTTGGAGGAGGGGCTTGGAGGGAGATGATTGGATCATGGGGTTGGACTTCCCTCTTACTGTTCTCATGATAGTGAGTTAGTTCTCATGGGATTCGGTTGTGTAAACGTGTGTTGAACCTCTCTCCTCTCTCTTCCTCCTATTCTAGCCATTTAAAATATGCCTCCTTCCTCTTCACCTTCCACCACAATTATAAGTTTCCTGAGGCTTTGCAAGCTATGCTTCCTGTACATCCTGCGGAAATGTGAGTCAATTAAACCTCTTTTCTTTATAAGTCACCCAGTTTCAGGTAGTTCTTTATAGCAATATGAGAATGGACGAATTCAAAAATTTGTACCAGGAGTGGGGCATTGCTATAAACATATCTGAAAAATGTCAAAGCAGCTTTGAAACTCAGTAACAGGCAGAGGCTGGAACAGTTCAGAGAAATTAGAAGACAGGAAGATGTGGGAAAGTTTGGAACTTCCTAAAGACTTGTTAAATTGCTGTGACCAAAATGTTGTTAGTGATAATGCTGACAATGAAGTCCTGTGAGGAGGTGAGAGAAGAAGGCCACTGTCCTCCAGACACCAGGCTGAGGTTGTTCTCTAATGGTAATGAGGAACCTATTGGGAGCTGGAGCCAAGAGCACCTTTGTTACACATGAGCAAAGAGATGATCTGAAATTGGAACTTATTTTTAAGAGCAAAGCAGAGTGTAACAGCTTGGAAATTTGCAGCCTGGCCATGTGGTAGAAAAAGAAAAAACCTATTTCGTAGGGAGGAATTCAAGCCAGTAGCAGAAATTTGCATCAGTAAAGAGGAGCCAGACGTTGATACCCAAGATAATAGAGAAAATGCTGCAAAGACATTTCAGAGGTTTTGCGGCAGCCCTCCCATCACAGGCCTGGAGGCCTAGGAGGAAGGGATGATATCATGGGCAAGGCCCAGGGTCCCACTGCTCTGTGCAGCCTCCAGACATGGTAACCTTCATTGTGGCCACTTCAAATCCAGCCATGACTATATTTGCCCCAGGTACAGCTTGGCTTGTTGCTTCAGAAGGTGCAAGCTGTAAGCCTTGGTGACTTCCATATGGTGTTAAGCCTGTGGGTGTGCCGAGTGTCAGAGTTGACACTTGGAAGCCTCCACCTAGATTTCAAACAATGTAAGAAAACACCTGGAAGTCTGTTTTAGGCAGAAGTCTGCTACAGGGGCAGAGGTCTCATGGAGAAATTCTAATAGGGCAATGTGGAGGGGAAATGTAGGGTTGGAGCCCCCACACAGAGTCCCCACTGGGGCACTGCCTAGTGGAGCTGAGAGAAGAGCGCCGCTATCTTCCAGACTCCAGAGTGGTATATCCACCAACACCTCACACTATGCACCTGGAAAAGCTGCAGGCACTCAACACCAGCCTGACAGCCCCTGAAATCAGCCACAGAACTTCAAAATATATAGAAATTAAACAACATGCTCCTAAAAAACCAGTGGGTCAATGAAGGGTAATGAAAAGGGAAATTAAATAAAAAATTATTGTGACTGTTAATACTAAGTGTCAACTTGGTTGGATTAAAGGAGGCAAAACATTGATCTTAGGTGTGTCTGTGAGGGTATTGCCAAGGGAGATTAACATTGATTCAGTGGGCTGGGGAAGGCCAACCTGCCTTTAATCTGATGGGCACCATCTAATCAGCTGCCAGTGAATGTAAAGCAGGCAGAAACATGTGAAAAGGCAAGACTGTGACATCTTTCTCCCATGCTGGATGCTTCCTGCCCTCAAACATCAGACTCCAAGTTCTTCAGTTTTGAGACTTGGACTGGCCCTCCTTGCTCCTCAAGCTTACAGACAGCGTATTGTGGGAACTTGCAATCATGTAAGTTAATACTTAATAATATACATCAAGTAAATACTATATATACATAGTATTTATACAGTGTACTATTATATATATATGGCAAGTGTTGGCAAGAATGTACAGAGAATCCTAGCACACTTGGTGGGAATGTAAATGAGTACAGCTACTATGAAAAACAATATGGAGGATTCTCAAAAAAATTAAAAATCAAACTACCTTATTATCCAGTAGTTCTACTGCTGGGTATATATTCTAAGGAATTGAAATTAGTATGTCAAACAGATATATGCACTTTCATGCTTATTGCAGTATTACTCACAACAGCAAAGATAACGATATCAACTTCTCTGTCCATCAGTGGATGAATGGACCTTTTAAAATGTGGTATGCATACACAATGCAATACTATTTAGCCATAAAAGGGATGTAAATTCTGTCATTTGCAACAACGTGGATAAAACTGGAGGGCATTATGTCAAATGAAATAAAGCAGTCACATAAAGAAAAATGCTGCATGATCTTCCTCATATGTGCAGTCTTAAACTATTGAACTCATAGAAGTAGAAAGTAGAATGGTGATTACTAGGGGCAGGAGTGGCTCCAGGATGATTGGAAAGATGTTAGTCAAAGGATACAAAATATCAGTTTCATAGAAGGAATAACTTAGAGATCTGTTGCACAACATGGTGACCATGGTTAACAATATATTATACTCTTGAAAAAAAAAGAATTGTATATTTGATGTATCCTGAATTAAGCACTTTCCTCCAGGTTTCATGAGCTCCCACCAGGTATTGTTACCAATGAGAAGCCATTGCTAGTATGTTTCATTTCATTCTATAATTAATTTGTTGTTATTGACTGAAAGCTGTGGATTATTGTCTTTGTCCTCAGAATTCAAGATTTTTGCAAGAATGGTAAAGGCATTTTTAATTAATCTTGTCTGGGACTTTATGAGAAACGAACATTTCTATGGATCAGATATTTTGCGTCCTTTGATTTAATTAATTATTTCTTCGATATAATGTATTATTTTTCTTTTTCTAAAAAACATACTACTTTATATCTCTGGCAACTTATCCTAAAAAATACCCTAGTGCTTCCACTACATGTCATCTTTTTTTTTTCCTGTGATTTCTGAGCTATCGATTTCAAAAGACCTTTCAATCTACTAACTTGGTGCTGAATAGTGATGTCTCAGTCTTCCAAATGTTTCAATGAGTTTTTGCAATGGTAATATCATGATTTTAATAACTTAACTGGTGCTCCTCTAGGGCTCATATTATCATTTTGTTAAGGCTATTGTCTGCCTACTCCAATTACTATTTTAATGTGAGCAACATTACCTCTGGGTTCTTTGTTATTCCTTCCTGTGGTTTCTTACGCTCTTAAGAATATCACTTTTTTTTTTTCTTTTTATACCCTCAGATTAACTTACTGGGATAAATGGACAAAAGGAGAGTCACAAGTAAGCACAGGTCTTTCTATGCCTGTGACCAGACAGGAGATTATTTCTTAAGCGCCAACTCCCTGCTAAGGCCAGAGAAAAATCCTCTTTGCTCCCAGAAGTATTGATGGCTGCAGTGGGCCATCTGAGGCAGCCACTGCCAAGACACCAACTGCAGAAGGGAGCTGAGGCTGGGGCTACTTGCTGCATGTTGCCAGCAGGGGCTGGGGACAAGAAAGAACCCTGCTCCTTCTGAGTTGGTGGGGCAGGAGCTCCCTGGGCACAACTGCAGCCACCCAAGTTGCAGCTGCAGATCTAGGTCTTCCTGTGCTCTTATGGGCCGAGAACTGGTAGGAGCCCCACCCTCCTGGGTGCAGCTGCAGCCACCCAAGCCACAACTGCAGAACCAGGCATCTCTGCACTTTTGAGGGCCTGGGAAGGCCTTTCTTGCCCCATAGATTCAGAGGTGTCTGCTCCCGCTACCTGGTCTCTCCCTTCTTCTGGCACCCACACCAATCCTGGGTGTTTTGTAGCCCAGCCAGGTGTGCAGATGCTCAGGGCAGTGCTGACACACCAGCCCCCTGGTGCTTCAGCCCCCTCCAGACTTTGGGCACCTATGAGCACGGTAAGGAGGCCAAGGGGAGTCTGAGGGCAGCTCAGTGCTGGCCTGCAGGCATCCCTCAGCACAAACAGTCTGGGCACCATAGAAAATGGTAGGAGGAAGACAGGCTTCAGGGCAGAAAGCGGCAGGTCCCCAGTGAAGCGCCACTTTCAGGCTGGGGAAGGCCTGGAGCCTGGGGACTGTCTACCAGTCTCGCAGACTGAAACTGGTGGTGCTTTTTTCTGAGCCCACCAACGGTCACCCATGAACCAATCAGCATGCACTTTCTCCCATCTGAGGTCCACACAAACACCAGAGTCAGCCAGACTCAGGGAGATGATGGAATGATGTGCCTGCAGAAAGGAGCTACCCACTCCTGGGCATCCTCTCTGCTGACAGCTGAGCACTCAATAGGATGACTTGTCTGTGGAGAGGACCTACCCACTCCAGGATCTCCTCTGAGCTAGTCTGTCACTCAATAAAGCTCCACTTCACGTTGCTCACCCTCCACTTGTCCACGTACCTCATTCTTCCTGGGTGCAGGACAAGAACTTAGAACCTGCTGATTGACAGAGCTGTAACACAAGGCTGAAACATGCCCCTTGTTTGCCATGTTGCAGGCAAAGAGTAGGAAAAGAGAGCTGGACCCCTTTGGGGAGCCCAGACATTAAAGCTCCCTGAGCCACTGCTGCGACTCCCTCTTTGGAGGCCTGTAGTTCCTGGAGTCTCCAAGTTTTTGGGCACCACCACAATCCCTGGTGCCAGCCATGGAAGGTTCTTGTGGTGTCCCTGGTCCAGCCACACCCTTGCAGTGAGCCAGCGCCTGCGTCAGCAACTGGAGCTGTCCTCCTTGCTGCAGCAGCCAGTGTGCCTGAGTGTGTGCAGTGGCCAAACTCCACACTGACTCGTGCACACACCCTTCACTGCTCTATGCCTGGCTTGCCCTTGGCAGGCATGGGATCCAGGCCGGTAGTGTGTGCCAGTCCAAGTGGACAGAATGAGCCCAGGAGGCCCAAGAGAAACTTGGGCAAAGGTGTCACCAGCCACAGAGGTTTCTGGCCAGAAAAGAACCACCCAAGTAACCTGTGACAGTATTTCACCCATGGCATTTGTCAGACCTCTTTCAGCCTCCAAACCTGAAAGTCACTCAGCTCACTTTGGCAGCTCCTTTCCAGATCCAGAAAGACCAACAAGGCCTCCCCCAGAATTTATGTGGGCTGGCAGATACAGATGATCCTGAGCATCTCAGTGCTGACACACAAGTCATTAGGGTATCCAGCTCTTGTCCTTGACCCGTTCTTGTCCTTGACCTAATACTAATAAGTCCAATGCTTCAGTGGATCCAGGCAGAGCCCTCTGCCTCAATACCCTCTCCAGTTTTGATATTAAGGATGCTACTGTCCTATTCCAGAGAAGAAGCCAACCGATAGAAGGTTGGGGTTATGGTTTTATGGATTTATTTCCAGAATCTTCTTCTTAGTAGGATTGACTTTGTAAATAAAGTAATGAAATATAATTCTTTATAAACGCTATAATTCTTAGATATTATAATGAATACAACTTTAGTCAGTTTTTATAATAATATTTTAGTCAGTTTTTTTTTTTTAAGTCTATGTGCAAACTCCCATACCAAACTATGAGATTTTAAGTGTGGCCTATTCATTACGTTTTCAGCCAAATGGGGCAGGCAGCATTGGAAAAAGACAGCCTGTTCGTAATCTAAGTAATTTATTGTTTTTTTTTTTCTCTTTAGAGAAATGTTATAGGTTAATCTAGCTTTTTGTAGAAAGAAAATAATACTGAAAATAAATAATTTATTTGGGGAATATCTAAATATTTTCTTTATTATTCTTTAATAGTAGCACTTCTCTTTGACTTTGCTTAGAGAAGTCTGCTATTGCAATTTGCCACTGCACATAGTTCTTGTTGGAACAATATTACCAGAGTTGCTCCAATGCTATGACCCAACCGAAAGTCTAGCACATGCACAAATCATGCTAATCACACTATATTCCTTGGCATTCAGACCACACACAGAATTACACAGGAAAGAATGTCACAGAAAACTAACTCTGGTTAATTATAATGTAAATGCCTTGAGTAAAAAACATTGAGTTCTGTTGCTACTAAGATTGATAAGCTGACCTTATTCTTTTCCTAACATTATCTTAGTTTTTCATCTTTAAATAAAAATAGTGAGTGTTATCTCTCCAATTCCATGTCCATTCTTTCTTTCTTTTTTAACTGAATTTTGGTTAAGTTAGATTCAGGATCTTTTGTTTCTATCAAAGGAAATCTAACTCAAGCATCACCTGAAATCTCCCTGGCTAGAATGGTCCATAAACATTTTAAGAATTAGTCCCACATTTGTAGACTTTAAAAATTACAGTTTTAGCAATTGTGATCACCTGGTCTTTTACAAATAATTACTAAATAAATTACTAAAACAAATTGTGGGGATATACATTTTTAATGGTACTAGCTGTCATCCAGGCAGGCCAAAGCATGTTAGGATTCATTAGGAAGAAAACATGCTCCTCTCTGTAAAGGAACATGCCACAATTCTCAGTGAGATGCAGCATTGCTCCTACATGACTCTCAGATGTCCAGTCCACACAGGGTTTACAAGAATCCCAAATCATGTTTTTGGGAATCAGAAGCTTACCAGGTTCATGGCTTCTGCTTCTATTCAGAAGGATACATCAATAAGTGCTGTTGACTATCTGTCTACTTACTCTTCAGAGATTTGTTTTATGACTTTCAGGGCATATTATAAAACCTAACTTTTCAGGCCAAGAGACATCCATTGGTAATTAGAATTCTCATGCTGCAGCTATTTATATTTTTATGGTTTAAAAATAGTTAATTGGCATGTGCCCTAAGGCTTTTTGCAATGGGTTTACCTTTACAAATAATTAATAATCAGCATTGAAAGTAGTGTTTTAATTTTCCAACCAATTTAACTGTTCAAAGTTTTTGTCTACCATGGTCATATGTTTGTCAGACAACTAAGAAAAACAGATATAACAGATGAATATAATTAGCATTAACATAAAAAAGCCTAAGAAGAATAAATCAATTTGATTAACCCAGCAATTTAAAAATTACCATTGTAAAAGAAAAGGTGAATACTATAATTTTATTTTATAATTAGCCTATCAAGTATTCACTTTGAATATACATTTACAGCAAAAGCTTAAGGCTATCATATACATATGCCAATCTCAGGTATGACAATGTTAATATCTTACACTCATCAGAGCCATCTATGTAACACACATGACAATGAAACTACCATAAATCTTGACTCCACAGTCAACAACTCTTGGTACTCAAGGAAAAGTAAGATTTTTGAGGTTTTGACAGAATCATTAAAGTGGGAGCTTTGTATATGGCATACTCGTTCAAATTTGATTATTACCATTTGCATTCTGAAGATAATAGTGCTAATTCAAAGACTCTCTTTCTCTTTCTCTCTCATCTGTAAAGCCAGTCTGGATAATTCAGTGTTTACTTTTAAAAATCTGTGATTCTAATATTTGCAATTCTATTAATTCCTGTTATAACGTACATTCCTCTTAGTAATGCATATCTATTAGGTATTATATCAATATGTCTACATTGATCTATTTATATTCTTGAATAACAACAGAAAACAAGAAAACACCCAAAGAAATTTCAATCACTATTTTATGGTTGGTATATTTGATATGCTAGATTGATGTGCTCACATCCTCATTTAGTTCCTTGAAAGTTAGCTCAATGAAAATTACTTCAATGAAGAACAAAAAAGTGGGAAGCACATATAAACATGTATTATAGAGACAATCAGAATAAAAGAGCCCCAAAGTATTCCTACTTCAACCCCAGTGCTATGATTTGAATGTCCCCTCCAAAAGGCATGTTGAAATTTAATTGCCATCGTGACAGTATTGAGAGTTTGGTCTGTTAAAAGGTAATTAGGCCATAAAGACTTTACTCCCTTGAATAAATTAATATCGTTATCATAGAAGTGGGTTAGTAATCACAAGAGTGGCTTTATTATAAAAGTGAGTTTAGTGTCCTCTTGCTCACTCTCTCTCACCCTCACTCACCCTTCCAAATTTCTGCCATGGGATTATGCAACATAAAGGCCCTCACCAGATGCTGACACCTTTATGTTTGACTTCCAAGTCTACAGAGTTGTGATAAATAAATTTATTTTAATTATAAATTACTCAGTTTGTGGTATTATTATTATTATTATTACTATTTTGAGATGGAGTCTCACTCCGTCGCCAGGCTGGAGTGCTTGGCGCAATCTCGGCTCACTGCAATATCCGCCTCCGGGGTTCAAGTGATTCTCTTGTCTCAGCTTCCCAAGTAGCTGGGATTACAGGTGTGTGCTACCATGCTAGGACAACCTGCACTGAAAAAAACTCATGATAATCTTTATTATAGTGAGGAATCCACTGGTCTCTAACCAGGGTGTCAGTTCAGATTAACTCATCCTTTTTACTTAAACCTTTGTTTTAGAGAGAGATACCAGAAAGGAAGCAGTTACATTAATGAGCAGGGAGATGAACAGAACCCCAAGATCTTGGTATCAGAAACACACATGCCAAACATAGGTGAAATGATTATGAGTCAGTAAGGCCTTTGGCTTGGGTTATTAGCTAGCAAAATTCAAATACTACTATCATGAAGAAGTTGATTGAGGAATTCCAAGATGTCGAAACCTCAAAACTTTGTATCAGGAAACGGAAGAGTCGATACTTAGAGTTTTCTCTAGAAGTGTGCTTAGGACTTTATGACACTTCAGGGTGAAGCATCTACAAATAAATTTTCTCTTGCTAATAAAAATTATTTATAATGACATCAATGTGTTATTGTGCCAATGTATCCCATACCACTATGAAGAGAGTGAGGAGAACAGAAAAGCATTTTGGTTCTATGTATTTCCATTCAAAAGTTTCTTTAATTGTCTTAAATAGTTTTAAAGTCAAAAGTACTGCTCCATCGCACTTTTAGGGCTACGGATAACAGCTTCCTATGATTGAGAGTCCCACGGTAATTCATAATTCCGTTGATATGGCTTTAATTTTTCCATGGCTTTGCAAATTGCCCTTGATTAAACTCCTTTTTGTCCACACTTTTTAGCCTTCCATCTGTTTCCTGTGTGGACTTGGACTGATTCCGTTATTATTTTCTCTTTTTCTTTAAATCCCACACTGAAATGATCAGTAAATGCAGACAGCTCTACCTTCAAATAATATCTGTAATTTAAACTTATCTTCCCGTATTCACTGCTAACCACTTCCCTATGCTTTTCCTTTTATGTCGTGGCTTAGAGAAATTGACACTACTAATATCAATACTGGGGTGAAATGACAAGGCTGCTCACAGCTGAAGTGATAGGCAGTTTGGGACAAGTGACACCTAACTCCACAAACTGCCCTTGGGATGTGAGAGGACCACTGCTTTCGCACATGACTTGGGAAACTCTACACTGATCTAAGCCACCGTTATCAATGCCTAAACAACAGTCAGAATCTTCTATCTGTTCTTTTAAGCCCCCACACCCGCTTGGTCAGAGAAGTCTGAGGTATCTTTAGGATCATAATTCAGATCATGTCATTCTCAGGCCTAATATTTTAGAGTGGCTTTCCATTATAGGTAGAATAAATGAAATCTACAAGAGCCTATAAGGAACTATCTTCTGGGCCAAGCACAGTGGCTCATGCCTGTAATCCCAACACTGTGGGAGGCCTAGGTGGGTAGATAACTTAAGGTCAGGAGTTTGAGACCAGCTTGGCCAACGTGGTGAAACACTGTCTCTACTAAAAATACAAAAATTAGCCGGATGTGGTGATGCGCCTGTGTAATCTTAGCTACTCTGGAGGCTAAAGCAGGAAAATCACTTGAACTCAGGAGGTGCAGGTTGCAGTGAGCAGAGATTGTGCCACTGCACTCCAGCCTGGGCAACTGAGTGAGGACTCCATCTCAATAAAACAAACAAACAAACAATCTTCTGCCAACTCTTCCCAACTGTTTCCTTTTTCTTTCCTGGTGTATTTCCTGCATTCTTAGTTATATTTCAGAAATCCCTTGCTTAAACCACTTTTTACAAATTTGCAGTTATTTCTTTCCCTTAGAATGCACCCCCAAAGTTTTGCTACTTTGTGTAGTTACCATGTACAATTTATTCCAAGAAAATTCCTCTACAGTCCAACCTAAAATAGCTTTTTGTACCAGTCACTCTCTACCATATCATCAATCCTATTTTCCTCATTGCTCCTATCAACCACTGAATTTATCCTGTATATTGACTTACTGATTTTTCTGCTTTTTACTAGTGGAATATAGGCTCTTTGAGGGTAGAGACACCATCATGAATCTACAGCAAGGAAAATAGCAAGCTGATTCATAGCAAGTGTTCAAAATGATATGTTGACAGCTACTGTCTGACTTGAGCAACTTGTCTCCTTAGCCTCTTCTTTCTTGCCTATGAATTAGAACTAATTGGAATGTCGCTTTATCACTGTGTGGATCTGAGGATGAACTGACATGTTTAGTGCAGCTCATAGGGTTAGACATGCAACATCACTGGCAGTGTGGTGTGCTGGAGCCAGCTCCAAGTTTGTAACAGCTGACTATTAAATCTCCAGGGTTTTTGTGAGCTGGTTGATTCATGTTGTAGCTTGAAAATAACCATAGTGAGAAATAAATATATCATGAAAATCAGAAAATACTTCAAGTCAGAGCCTTTTTGTCCTGAAGGAGTTGGTTGTTAGATATGTACAAGCACATCACTGACCTTCAACATTAATATGATCTTTACAAAAGACACAAACAGACACTTCTCAAAAGAAGATATTTAGGCAACCAACAAACGTATGAAAAAAAGCTCAATATCACTGATCATTAGAGAAATGCAAATCAAAACCACCATGAGATACCATCTCACGCCAGTTAGAATGGTGATTATTAAATGGTCAAGAGACAACAGATGCTGGCGAGGCTGCAGAGAAATAGGAACACTTTTACACTGTTGGTGGGATTGTAAATTAGTTCAACCATTGCAGAGGACAGTGTGGCAATTCCTCAGAGAGCTAGAAACAGAATACCATTTGGCCCAGCAATCCCATTACTGGGTATATATCCAAAGGCATATAAATCATTCTCTTATAAAGATACATGCATGTGTATGTTCGTTGCAGCACTATTCACAATAGCAAAGATACGGAATCAACCCAAATGCCCATCAATGATAGACTGGATAAAGAAAATGTGGAACATATACGCCATGGAATATTATGCAGTCATAAAAAGCAATGGGATCATGTTCTTTGTAGGGACATGAATGGAGCTGGAAGCCATTATCCTCAGCAAACTAATGCAGGAACAGAAAACCAAGCACCACATGTTCTCACTTATAAGTGGGAGCTGAACAATGAGAACACATGGACACTGGGAAGGGAACAACAGACACTGGGGCCTATTGGTGGTGAAGGTGGCGGAGTTGGGGGAGAGAGAGCATCAGGAAAAATACCTCATAAATGCTGGGCTTAATACCTAGGTCATGGGTTGATAGGTGCAGCAAGCCACCATGGCACCCATTTACCTATGTATAACAAACCTGCAGATCCTGCACATGTACCCTGAAACTTAAAATAAATTAAAAAAAATCAATACTGCAATCATTGTATCATGAAGTAGAAAACTTGAAAGCAACAGCTTCATGGGCTGGGTACCAAAATAATATAGAAATCAGTTTTCAATTATATTTTATCTAAACATCGGATTTTTAATAACTGAAAATCTCTTATTTTAAAATCTAAAATCTCTTATTTTAAAATATATCCGAAGAAGACAGTACTAAGTGTTTAGACACAGTTATTCCAATGGAACATTTATAAAATATAACATGCTATCCTTTTTCTTCAAGCCTTCTTAAAATGCTAAGACAGTGGTTCTACAATTTCTTTGGATATTGAGACCACTTGGAAAGCTTTTAAAAATTGCAGTGCCCATGAACCAATGCCCATGACCAATTAAATCTAACTTTCTGAGGATGGAACCCAGATATCAGTATCTTTTCAAGCTTCTCAAGTGATTCCAATATGCAAAGTTCAGATCCACTACCCTAAGGATGAGAGTCTTTGCAAATGGGCGGTTTGCCTAATAGATATGGATGTAGATGGATATAGATATGAATATGGATGTAGATGGAATATTTCTACTTAAACCTTATGCCAGTCAAGTTAAAGTTTTGCAGTTACATTTTGTCATTATCTGTGAAATGTGTTTGGTTGAAATCCAAGGAAGATAAATGAGCACTCTTCTTAGAAATGGTTTAATTTGGCAGACATCACCACTTCCATGAACAAACTGTTCAACAAAATTAATTCTTGGAATCATTATAACTTTAAGAATAGGAGTAAAAGAACTATGTGACAGGTGTTGTATGTAGCTGCAGTAAATATAATGGGAACACTTTTACTCATTTCATTATAAACAATATTATTTCTCAAGGTGCCTGGCCATAATTTTAACCATATATCACAGCTGGTTGGCTTCTCTATTTTCCTCTACCATTATTGAAACATGTTCTCCTAGGATAAGAATGCAGTGCCGTTATCTATACAAGGCAATCTATAATTGTGTCAGTTAAAATGTAGAGCATATCAATCTTTTTATTAAATAAAAGTAATAACATGCCAGAATATTCCAGAAAAATATTCACAGCTACCCCAAAATATGTTTATTTAATAAGATACATCTATATCTACATTTTTAGCAATCTAGCTAGCTATTATCTTTCTCTTACCTATCCATCTAATATGTCTATCTTATCATCTATTATCTATCTACCTACCAACTTTCTATATATCTACTTAATGTCTGAATTGTTTCAGGGGCAACTGTATTTCAAGAATGTAAACTGAGTCACTGGAGACCTGCAAGTTAAAAGTTTTAGTCTCCTTACTTATTCCTTGTTGATCTTACAGAAAAATTAAATAGTATTTTTTATATTTTTTGTAATTCTCTTTTTTAAACCATATAACATTTGTGTGTATGTGATAAAGATTTAGAAAAATGCTGCCCTGCAAAACTGTGTACCTTGAGAATGTCCAGATATACAAAATTTAGTTTGCCTTCAATTAGTTTCTTATGACTGATTACAATTTTGCTTTAAAAAACATTTAGTTTACTTGAATTATTATTTAGAAATTCTTGTTTAAGGAGTAATATATTTATAGTTTTATATAAAGTAGATTTATGTATTTTCTCTATTTTAAAATGATCTTCTTTTACATTATTTGAAGTATATTCTTACGGAAATGTATCGGCTCCTCCCGAGGTGAAAACAGAGAAAGTATAAACTTTTACAATGGTAAGAAATATCTTAATATGTTTAGAAGACCAAAATTGATAAATTGTTAATAATTTTCAGCATATTCTGGAATACAAAAATACTGAAAACTTTAAGATTAAAAAAAGATAGTTATTTTAAAACAGTGTATAACAGGGATAGAAAAAGAAACTTGTGCAGTCATTTGATCTGTAAATCCACTTGCCAGGTCATTTGATACATAGTTCAAACGTTTTCCAAACATATATTGAACTTCTATTGGACAGCAGACTCCGAAGGCTTCACGAACACTTCAAATAACAGTCCAAATCTAAACACATATTTCTATTCAAATATACTTATCCTCTTGTTTTCAAATTTATTCAGAACAGGGCTAAAGTCACAAAATGTATCCTTTACATTAGCATATTCGATTCATCATGAATCCTATAATTATAAATATTTAATTCTATAAAAATATTTTATTAAATTACCTTTCTCAAAAATCAAATACAAATTGCAGGCTTATCTAAGTAATTTTAATTTAAATTTTGAATGCCATTATTATATTTATTTTTAATTATAATAAATAAGTTTTGAATATCTGAGATAACATTTTAGAAAGCATTGGGGATTATAATTTTAATGTTTATATTTACTTTAATTTACGTATTTTATAAAACTCTTTTCAAATTTTGTAACCTGGGTATACGTTTACTTATTATTTATAGTCTTTCACATCTTAACATTTTAAAGATATTTCTAGCATTTTAAAAGTTTATACTGATAGTTATTGCCAATAGAACAAAAATTAAGTAAAATCTTGTTTATGACAGTATGATTAATGATTTTGTCAAGACGAAGATAAAAAAATGAATTGAATAAAAAAACATAATTTGCAATAATATATAACTTCAAAAATAATTTTTGAATGAAGTATTCTTTCACTCATCCAAACATTGCCTGCCCATCAACAGAACAATGGCGCTTGTAAAATAATAATTGTATTCAGTTGACTATAATATGTTGCTAATTTTTGTTATTTAAAAAAAGATTGTTTTCCACGTATTTGTTTCCTGGGGCTGCTCTTAAAAACAATACCACAAACTTGGTGGCTTTAAACAATGGTAATTTCTTCTCTCACAATAAGAGGCTAGAAGTCTGGAACCCAAATATCAGCAGGGCCATGCTCCCTCCAAAACCTCTAGGGGAAGGTTGTTTGCCTCTTCTGGATTCTGGTAGCTCCAGGGACCCTTGGTTTGTGACAGCATAACTCCTCAAATTTAAATGTTCAATCCATCATGAGTTAATTTTTGTATATGATGAAAGGTAGGGGTCCAGTATCTTCTGCATATGACTCGCCAGGTATCTCAGCACCATTTATTGAAACAGAAGTTCTTTCCCCATTGCTTATTTTATTTTAAATTTTTTAAGAAACAAGATCTTATTCTGTCACCCAGGCTGGAGTGTAGTGGCACAATTATGGCTCCCTGTAACCTTGAAATCCCGGCCTCAAGTGATTCTCCCACTTCAGCCTCTCAAAGTGCTGTGATTACCAGTGTGAGCCAACATGCACAGCTTTTCACTGATGGATTTTGTTGATTTTGTCGAAGATCAGATAGCTGTATAAGCACTTTATTTTTGCATTCTGTATTCTTTCCCATTGGTCTATATGTCTGTTTCTCTACCTGTGCCATGCTGTTTTGATTACTATAGCCTTATAGTATAATTTGAAGTCCAGTAATGTGATGCCTCAAACTTTGCTCTTTTTGCTTGGAATTACTTTGGCTCTTTGGGCTTTTTTGGATCCATATGAATTTTAGAATAGTTTGTTGTCAATGTACAGGAACAAAATTTGACGATTTAAGTTGAACTTAAATTGATTGTAACTTCAAATTTTAGACATATGATATGTGAGATTTTATTTGTCTTCTTTTCCTTGGCCCCCAAAATATTTAGGATAGACTTTACAGCTAATAAAATGAATTACACTGTTTAATCTACAATCAAATAAACAGTTTTGATTAGTTTGTAAAAATTTTTATGTAGAAATGGGTATATTAATCTTTTATTATTATTGATACATAATAGATGTAAATATTTTCAGGATACCTGTGATAATTTAATACATGCAAGTATGTGGTAAAGATCAAATAAGTGTAATTGGTATATCCATCACATTAAATTCTTGATTTTCTTTAGGCTAGAAACATTTGAATTATTCTCTTCCCACTGTTTTGAAAAATACAGTAGGTTATTGTAAACTATAATCACTTTACTGATCTATTAAACACTAGGTCTTATTTATTCTATCAAACTGTATATTTGTACCCATTAATCAACCTCTCTTCATCCTCCCTCTTCAATACCCTTCAAGGCCTCTTGTAACCACCAATCTACTCTTTATCCTCACGAGATCCACTTTTTAGCTCCCACATACAAGTGAGAACATGTGATATTTGTCTTTCTGTGCTTGGTTTATTTCAGTTCACTTAATGACCTTGAGTTCTACCCATGTTGCTGAAAATGACAAGATTTCATTCTTATTTAAGGGTGAATAATATTCCATTGTGTCTATTATACACCGTGTTATTTTATCCATTCATCCACTGATGGGCACTTAGGCTGGTTTCATAATTTGGCTATTATGAATAGTGCTACAATAAACATGGGCGTGTAGATATCTCTTTGATACATGTATTTTCTTTTTCTTTCTTTTTTTTTTTTTGAAATCTACCCAGTAGTGAAATTGTTGCATTATAAGGTAGTTTTATAGTTAATTTTCTGAGGAAACTCCATACAGTTTTCCACAGTGGTTATACTAATTTACATTCCCATCAAGAGTGTATGAGGGTTCTCCCTTCTTCACATCCTCACCAGCGTCCATTATTTTCTGTCTTTTTGATAAAAGCCATTTGAACTGGGGTCAAATGATGCACCACTGCAGTTTTCATTTACATTTCTCTGATGATTAGTGATGTTCAATCATTTTTCAAACACCTATTGGCCATTTGTATTTCTTCTTTTGAGAAATAGTTATTCACATATTTTCCCCATTTTTCAAATTGGTTATTTGGTTTTATCTAGCTATTGACTTGTTTGAGCTCTTTACATACTCTGGTTATTAATCTCTTGTCAGATGGATAGTTTGCAAGTACTTTCTCCCATTTTGTGGGTTGTCTTTTTACTTTCTTGATTGTTTATTTTGCTGTGCAGTAGATTTTCAACTGGATGTAATTCAATTAGTTTATTTTTGCTTGGGTTTCCTGTGCTTTTGAGGTCTTTCACAAAAAAAATCTTTGCCCAGACTATTGTTATATAGTGTTTCTCTAACATTTTCTTTTAGTAGTTTTATAGTTTAAAGTCTTAGGTTTAAGTCTTTAATCCGTTTTGACTTTTCATATGGTAAAACGTAAGTGTCTAATTTCGCTTTTTTTTTTTTTTTTTTTTTTTTTTGCATGTGGTGGTTCAGTTTTTTCCAGCACCATTAATTGAAGAGACTGTCCTTTCCCATTGTATGTTCTTGATGCCTTTGTCAAGAGTTGGCTGCAAATGCGTGGATTTTTATCTCAGTTCTCTATACTGTTTTGTGGTCTATGTGTCTGCTTTTAACACAGTACCATGCTGATATGGTTACTATAGCATTGTACTGTAGTTGGAAGCCAGGTAGTGTGATGCCTTTTGCTTTGGTCATTTTGCTCAGAATTGTTTTGGCTTTCCAGGGTCTTTTGTACTTCCACATGAAGTTTAGGATATTTTTTATCTGTTTCTTTGAAGAATATCATTGGTACTTTGAAAAGGATTGTACTGAATCTGTAAAATACTTTGGGTAGTATTGTCATTTTAAAAATATTAATTCTTCCAATGCATGAGCATGAGATATCTTTCCATTTTTTCTGTCCTCTTTAATTTCTTTCATCTGAGTTTTATTGTTTTCCTTGTATAGACCTTTCAGTTTTTTGGTTAAATTGATTCCTAGGTATGTTATATTCTTTTTATGTATTATAAATAGGATTGCTTTCTTGATTTCTTTTTCAGATCGTTCACTGTTGGTATATATAAATGCTGCTAATTTTTGCCTTTTGGTTTTGTGTTCTGCAACTTTACCAAATTTATCAGTTCTCACAGCTTTTTGGTGCCGTCACTCAGTTTGTCCTTCATGTTTGTCCTTTAACCACTGCCTCTCCTGAGGCTTATGGGCTGTGGTCACACCATAGCTGAAAGATAGCACACATCTCATTCTTTTCTTCTTTTCTTTTCTGTTGTTTTCTTTTGCTTTCTTTTCTTTTCTTCTTTTTAATCCTATCTAACAGTTTTGCATATATAAGAAAAATAAGCTTACATAAGGGCTCCAAACTTAATGAAATGAATTTGTTAATGAATGAGCGTCTCATAAAAGCTTCTTTCCTTGAAGGGAAATGAAAATAGCACTGAGGAAGAGCTGGCTCAATCTGTAATAATAATTAGGTCAACTGGCAATATTTTAGGTCTGTAATAAAAAGAAGTAAAGAAATTGAAGAAAAGGTCACATTATTTTAAATTTTAATTGAACCATATTTCAAGAAAAGTATCAAATATTTACCTGCTCACACTGTTTCATTGTTAATATGCTTTGAGCAAAGATGGTAGACTAGATTTTTTAATAACCCTTTTGTTTTAAAGTGGTTTTAGATTTACAGAAAAATTTCAAAGATATTACCGAGTTCCCATACACCCTAAATCTAGTTTTCTCTATTAACACCTTATGTTATATGGCACATTTTTATAATTAATGAACCAATATTGATAACTGAAGTCCATAGTTTAGATTTTCTTATATTTTACCTGATATCCTTTTGCTATTTTAAGATATTATTGAGATTACTACATGGCATTTAGTCATTATGTCTCTCGAAGCTTGTCTTGGCTGTAATAGTTCCTCAGATTTTCCTTGTTATTAATGACCTTGACAGTTTTAAGAGTACTGGCCTAGTATTTTGTATAATGTCCTTCAGTTGGGATTTGTCTAGTCTTTTTTCCTTTTATCATTATTAAATATGGGTTTTTTAGTGATAGACCACAGAGATAAAGTGCCATTTTATAAAAAGTATTATTACCTTATGTCAACAACACAGTGTGTACTACCAACATTAATTATTACAATTGATGTTTACATTGATCACCTGGCTAAGGTAATGTTTGTCAGGTTAGTGCACTACAAAGTTACTCTGTTTTTCCTCTTCAATACCTTACTTTTTGGGAGAAAGTTATGTGCAGCCCACAGCTCAGGAGTAAAACTTAGGCTTTATCTAGCAAATGTCCAATATCTATATAAATAATTCAAAATTATTCTGCATCAGAAATTTGTCTACTTTCCTTTATTTGTTCAAAACTTCACATATGTCATGATGAGTTTGTAGAAATTTATTGTATACTTTGGGTTATAATATAATTATACTTTGTTAAATTTCCTGCTCAACTTTTTCTAGTTTTGGCAACTGAGAGCTCTTTCAGTTGACTCCTGTTTCCTTTTGACCTATACCTATCATGATGAGGTTTGAAGGTGTGTGTGTGTGCGTGTGTGTGTGTGTGTCTTAAGTACTTTCTTACTTTATGGCACTACAAGATGATCCAGGTTTATTTTATATTCTTTCTGTTTAAGTCCCAGAATCGGCCATATCTCTGAGGAGTCCCGTATCCTAATATTGGAAAGTGGTATTAGAAACCTGGACTTGGGGCCGGGCGCAGTGGCTCACGCCTGTAATCCCAGCACTTTCGGAGGCCGAGATCAGGCGTTTGAGACCAGCCTGGCGGACATGGCGAAACCCTGGCTCTACTAAAAATACAAAAATTAGCCGGGCGCGGTGGCCTGTAATCCCAGCCACTCAGGAGGCTGGGGCAAGAGAATTGCTTGAACCAGGGAGGCAGAGATTGCAGTGAGCCGAGATCGCACCACTGCACTCCAGCCTGGGCGACAGAGCAAGACTCCGTCTCAAAAAAAGAAAAGAAAAAGAAACCTGGATTTGGGTACTAGGTGTGCTTGTCACTACTGAAGTGCTGTTGTTTCTAAGTCCTCTCTGCTGACAGAGTAAGAATCCACTAACCCATATATGCACATATATGTGTAAATATTTCTGTATCTGTAACTATATTAACCAAACAAGAGTTATTTTTGCTATTCCCAAATCTGGTTCATTACTACGTGCATCATTCTGCTTCTTCTCGTTGCTTATTTGTAAACTTCCACTCCAACAGTGAGAAACCTGATTCATCACATCCACCCTCCATTTATTTCATTGTTCAATTCCATTATATTATACATGTAAAGCAGTATCAGTATTGTTAACCTGCAACCCTAAGGGAATAAACTTTGTCAACTAGAGCACGGTGGTTATGTGCAGTTCCTTTAGCCTTTACTCATACAGACACCATTCATTTACAAATCACCTTATCTCCCACCTCCTCAATGAGATTGTTTTATAAAGTTAAGTTGTATTGTCATATTCTGCATTCTAACCCTGGATCCCCCAACCTCTCAAATGACTTTTTAAACATTTACCAATATTAAGGCCGGGCGCGGTGGCTCACGCCTGTAATCCCAGCACTTTGGGAGGCCGAGGTGGGTGGATCACGAGGTCACGAGATCGAGACCATCCTGGCTAACACAGTGAAACCCCGTCTCTACCAAAAATACAAAAAACATTAGCCGTGCATGGTAGTGGGCCCCTGCAGTCCCAGCTACTCCGGAGGCTGAGGCAGGAGAATGGCGTGAACCCAGGAGGCGGAGCTTGCAGTGAGCCGAGTTAACGCCACTGCACTCCAGCCTGGGCGACAGAGCGAGACTCCATCTCAAAAAAAATAAATAAATAAATAAATAAATAAATAAATAAATAACCAATATTAAGTTTCACTCTTTGTGCTGTAAAGTGCTATGGGTTTTGAGAAATTTGTAATGGCACATATCTACTGAGGCAGTGTCATACAGATTAGTCGCATTGCCCTAAATGAATCTTCTGTGCTTCCCCTATTCAACACCCCCACAGCCAACCCATGGCAACCACTGATGATAATCCATTTACCATCACTCTAGTTTTGCTTTATTCAGAATATCATATAACTGGAATCATATAGTATTCAGTCTCTTTAGATTGGATTCTTTCACTTAGCAAAATTTGAGATTTCCCCATGTCTTTTTGTGGCTTGATTGTGCATTTATTTTTATAATTGAAGAATATTTTATGGTATTTATGCAAAGTTTCTTTATCGTTTCACCTATCAAAGAATATTCTGGTCATAATTATTATCAAAATATTATAGTGAAAATAAAAATAATGTAATAAAATGAACAATCATACACAATGGCAAAGTTTTATTTTTCTTTACGCATAGTAATCTGCTCTCCATCTCCCTGTGACACAAATTGGTAAGGTGCGATTCAGAACTTTTGAATCAAGCAGAATTAAATTCATATTTAAATACATATCAACAAAATACAGCAAGCTTGTTTTAATGTGTTGCCTTTGAAATATTTGATTTTAGTAATACTGGTTTAATGGTTTGCTCTATGAAACTATTTACTCACAGTAACAGGGAATATTTCAAATTAGATTTTTTCCAAAGAAAATTTATTTTCACATCTTTAAATGTGTAGTTAAAATTAACTGAAGTGCCTTTCATTTGCCCAAAGATCATTTAATAAATAAGCTTCACTCTCATCTATGCACACATAGATGAACTCAAAAAACATTGTGGGTGTTTTACTTTAAGACCTAGCAGACTTGATATTGTAAGTCAAATCCCTTTTTGCCCTTAAATAAAAGCATACATGATTTATGTAACTAAAATGGTTTTATGATTTATGTATTAATATTTTGTTTCATTCATTTAGTTTGAAAGCAATTTTCTATTAAAAAGTTTGTTTTTATTTTTATCATTTTGCTCTCACCATTGAAGGACTGTACCACCAGTTGCTATGGTTTGAATAATTGTCCCCTTCAAAACTCATGTTGAAATTTAATCTCCAATATCTCAGTATCGTAGGTGGGGCCTTTAAGAGGTGGTTAAGTCATGAGGGATATACCCATTCACAGATTAATGGTTTAATGGATTAATAGGTTATCATGGGAGTGAAACTGGTGGCTTCATAGGAGGAAGAGAGGGTGGGGCTAACATACTCAGTCCTCTCACAAAACGAGGCCCTGCACTATCTTGGGATTCCACCAAGTGCCCCACCTGCAGGACCCCCACCAGAGGCAGCCCCCCAGGGTTAGGCATTTCAGCCTCCATAACTGTAACAAATTCATTTCTTTTATTTATAAATAACCCTGTTTTAGGTATTCTGTTATGAGTAACAGGAAAGGGACTAAGACACTAGTCTATTATTCATGTTGTCCCTCTAACACAGAGCATTAGGAGAACCTGGTAGATTAAATAGTATAATAACAATGATCAAAAACAAATATAATATTTTATCATATTGGTTTATGCATGTGTAATTCTTTATAACATGATAAATGTCATTGTATAAAATTTGGTTTCTAAGAGTAACTATTTAAATTTTAGGTTCTAAAATATAACTTCAAGTTATAGAAATATTTGTTTTAAAAAAGTTGACTCAAAGAAGGAATAGGCCAAAGATCTACGCATGTTCTCTAGTATTGCTACTTGTACTTAGAATCTACACTAAAGTACTTAAATAGCTAAAAAGCAAATTTGTTACTAAAATATAAATCAAAATACCAGGCTTGCATTTTTACATTTCAGCTACCTGAATATTTATGTCATGTGGACATAGCCTGGAGTTTGTCTACTAGCAGCATTACATATTCCTTCACAGCATAAAAATCAGACAAGTAGAAATCATTCTCACATTGATGTGGGTCCTTGATGTTGATAGTGTTCTTTGTGCAAATTTGACACATCAGCCCATTGATTTCATTCCCAGTATGATATTTTTAAAATCAGCTTTATTCTCTAAAACCAAAAGAAGGTGAATCATTTTTACTAGAGCATCAAAAGCACAATTTAGCATCTATCTGATGATATTCAGTTTAAAATTCTAATCACAGCATATTTAGCACAGTGATGAGAAAATACAAATGCATTGTTTATAAGATAGGAACATATGTACATTTAATATAAACACAAATAAGACAATGGGACAAATATATGTTTTCTTCTCATTACATAAACCCTGTTAGCCACAATTAAAAGAGGGAATTTTTTTACAGGTTTAATAAAAAATTAAAAAGTTTAATAATAAGAGCTTTATAATAGTTCTCTCAACACATGTATTTAATGGAAAAAATAAGTCTCACACTGTTGAAGAAAAAATATGCAAAGTTCCACAACAATAAAAGCCAAACCCAGGTTTTAACAAAGAGCTGTCTAATTCTGAAATCTATGCTCTTTGATTACACTACACTTTCTTCTGTCGGTTTAATTTTAATAGTAGGAAAAAAAATACAACATTACATACAATAAAAGCAAAATCTGGAGAGGTATACATGACCTGTGTAGGATAAAAACAAGCATGTTATAGATTGAAGCAGGTAGCAGTGGACGAAGACAGCTTAAGCAAGCAATGTAACAGTTTTAAGCCTATTTGGCATTGTTTTTCACTAAACTATAGCCACAAATAAAAAATAAATCTTCTTACACACCAATATATTCCCATTTCTTCCATTTTACAATATACAGTGCTTCTGTGAATTCTCAGACCACTATGTGAGGTATAGAAATTTACCCCAATTTGTAAAATTTCTGCTTTTAGGCCTAGCATTTAAATTGGATCAAGGAAAACATATGGAGTTTGAAGACTTTGAAAAAAAAAAAAAGAATGTAAATCTACCCAAGCCAGAGAGACAGGGAGGCAAACTACTCTGTGGTATTTCAGTTTGTAAACTTTACAGGTTATGATAATTCATTTGAGGATGACCTAATTTTCAGTGATTTCTTTAGCACATTTTACCCATTTCATCACCATATGTTCCTAATAACTTATCTAACCTAGCTAGTACAAGTTTGCATTACATCTGGAAACATTCTGAGAATGATAGCATTTCCAGTGAATTAGGCATGCCTTTTATTCTTGGGGGACTTCTGTGTTTAAATGAATACACACAATACTCACACACTTCATTACAGTATCTCTAAAATACATGCAAACCCCGAGGCATAGCAAATTACTGAATTAAGGTGACATAATTCTTAGAAAAAGAGTTCAGTGCTTCACTCCTAAAATATACCAATGTCTCAAAGGTTCTGACTAATTTATACTGCTAGGGGAACTGCCCCAATTTACTTTGGCTTTCAATAAAATACCTACAGCTGCCTCTAGGTATAGCACTGATTTGGAACAGCAGTACCGGCTAAATTAGTGTTATCATAGTATCATTATTTTTAATAGATCTTCCTTTCATAAGAGTGAAAAGATTAGGACCCAATCTAACTTGTTACATTTGTGGTTATTAGGAGAGCCTGCCAGGCTTTCAAATGAGAGATTAATATTAGTTTGCAGGTGCACTAAAGACAACATGCTCTTTTATGTATAAATAATAGCAACTCTAAAGTTGGGATAATTTTTTTCTTGTCTCACTTAGTGGTCTGGGAATTCACAGAAGTGCTAAAAATAGTTAAAATAGAAAAAATGATGAAATGTTATTTTGGAGTAAAATCATTTTTTGTGTGTCCATTAAGTAACAAAACTGAATCCTTACCTGTTGAATAAAATGATGTAAAGTGATATATATGAGTTTCTAACGAAATAATAGATGTATAATTAAGTAAGTTATGGAATAATATTAATGCTGGCTTTCTTGATATAAAATGGGTGAGACTATAGTAGAGAGGTTTAAATGCTAAAGAGAAAGACTTTGTCCAAAAAAATAAGAGCCAGAAAGAGATTGAAAAGGATTAGCTCTTGATCTTCAGTTGATTCAAGCCAAGTGTTTCAAACTCTGATTTTAAATTTCAAATTGAACTATGTGTTGAAACACGTAACTTGAAAGCTATACCTCCAAAAATGGCACAGACTCATTTATATCTGCCAGGCAACAGAAAATGTATGTATGACCTTCTGTGGTGTAGATCAAATTTAATCCATAAAGTATTTCTTATGTAAGCCCTCATGAAAAAGGAACTACACCAAACATGCAAACATTTATATTTTAACGGGGTTTTTATTTATTTTTATTTATTTTTATTTTTTATGTATGTATGTATGTATGTATGTATGTATGTATGTATGTATTTTTGATGGAGTCTCGCTCTGTCGCCCAGGCTGGAGGGCTTTTTTTTTTTGAGACGGAGTCTCACTTTGTCTCCCAGGCTGCAGTGCAGTGGCGCGATCTCCGCTCCTCTCACTGCAAGCTCCCCCTCCCGGGTTCACGCCGTTCTCCCGCCTCAGCCTCCGGATTAGCTGGGACTACAGGTGCCCGTCACCACGCACAGCTAATATTTTTTGTATTTTTAGTAGAGACAGGGTTTCACGGTGTTAGCCTGGATGGTCTCGATCTCGTGACCTTGTGATCCGCCCTCCTCGGCCTCCCAAAGTGTTGGGATTGCAGTCGTGAGACACCTCACCCAGCCCTATTTTAACAGTTTTAATAATATTTTGAGCCTTTCTTTTTTTTTTTTTTTTTTCTTTAAAGAGGTGGGGTCTTGCTATATAGCCCAGACTGGTCTCAAACTCACCTTGGCCTCTCAAAGTGCTGGGATTACAGATGTGAGCCACCGACCTGGTTTGTGCCTTTCTTAAGCAGCTAAGGGGTTCTGGACATAAAAAGATATCTCAGCAACCACTTTGGTTAACTTTCGGAAATGGAAAAAATATTGTGACATTCCAGAAGTGAAATCTACTTCCCCTTATAATTTAAGGGTTAAACTTGTGATTGCCTCACTCCCCCATTCTTGTGTTCTTTTTATGTTATCCATGATTTGAAAGTAGCTATTCCCTCCCTCCTTATATTCAAAGGTAAATTTCTTTTGTGATAGAAATGTATTATTTATACATTAAAATACTTTCCTCCAAATATTAAATCTCTATTGTGTTCATTATTCACAAATTTTAAAACTTAAATTATTAACTTTCTACCAGTAATATTTTAAGTAATACTGTTTATAATTTCTGGTTCATTCTAATTTTCCTGTTAAAATACCACGAAAGTTCAAAAAAGTAAAAAGGGGTAAAATTTTAAGAGCATCATTAAAAAAAGATAGTGAGAAATTGCCTCTTGGATCCCAGATGACTCACTCAAATAGTACTTAAATCTTTAAGGCAACACTGTAAAATATTAAATAGAAAACAATCTAAGGTACTTCCATCTTCACCAATTCACCCCTTTGATGTACATATCCAAAGTTATGTATTTTTTAACAAACCAGAGGAAGGAAAGCCAAACAGGCATATGCTCTTTATAAAAGACACAGTGAAATAAAAATGTAGATCTCTCAAAAGCAAATGGCATAAGAACAGGCATTGGGATATTCATACCTGCTTTAGTGTGAAATGCATAAAATAGAGCAAAGACCCTTCCTTCCTTCCTTCCTTCCTTCCTTCCTTCCTTCCTTCCTACCTCCCTCCCTCCCTCCCTCCCTCTCTCCCTCCCTCTCTTTCTCTCTTTCTCTCTCTCTTTCTTTCTTTCTTTCTTTCTTTCTTTCTTTCTTTCTTTCTTTGAGACAGAGTCTCACTCTATTGCCCAGGCTGGACTGCAGCCTTGACCTTCCAGGCTCAGATGATCCTCCCACCCCAGCCTGGGACTATAGGCACACATCTCTGCAGCCTACTAATTTTTGGTATTTTTGTAGATTGTAGATTTTGTTTTGCCGCGTTATCCAGGCTGGTCTCGAACTCCTGGGCTCAAGCAATCCCCCTGCCTCTGCCTCCCAAAGTGTTGGGATTACAGGCATGAGCCAGTGCACCTGGCCTGTATTATTTTCATTAATCACACATTTTACAATGGAGATTTTGTAGTTATGAACCACTATATCTATCTTAAAATTAGGAACACTTTGACAGAGACATAGTTTACTGTGTGATTTTAATAGAGGCACAGTTTACATGTTTCTATTTGAAAAGAAATTATATTTACAGTGGTTAAGAGCAAGGACCCTGGAGCTAGAAGAACCTGAGAATGCGTCTAACCTTCAACTTACTAGAAGTGTGACTATGTATGAATTATTCCAGCTCTCTAATCCTTAATAACAAGACCACGATAATATTATTGTGACGATTAATAAAATATACCAAATGTGCCTACTGCCTTGGCATTGTTTAAATGTTAACATTTATATAACATATTGATTGTCAAAAATTAAAGGAATCCACAATTCTCAAATGTCAGTTTGTATGAAAATTACTTAGAAATGTGGATAATGATGCTCATCCTGATTTATGATACTCATGTCCACAGACGTTGATTCATTAGGAATAAGAATGCCCAATTCTAACAACCACCTTAAGTCCATTAACTACACTTTTAGAACCTTAGAAACATCAAATAAAAAATACAATTCATAAGATTGATTTTATTAATATATTTTAAAAAATGAACGTTGCAAAGAGAGGTATATCTTATTTTTTATTATTCTATGAAATATTTAAAAAACTGATTTTTTAAAGGTGACACACTGACACAAAACAGCTTATTTTTTAAAGTGAAATTGTGAGAGAAACAGATTCCCTGGCAGAAAATTAAAACACATCACGATGAGAAACAAATAACAAAAATAACAAAAAAACCAAGTATAAATACTTTTAAAAATATAATTTGTGACATCAATCAATTTTGTTAACTATTAATTAAATGAAAATTATAAAATCATAAAATTTCTGAACTGTATGCTATAATATAGCCAAAATTGTATTCAGTTGTTTTAAATGCTTATAATTTAAGAGAAAAAAATATTATGTAAGATTTAAATTCTGCAAGTTAGAAAATTTAAGCAAAAAAATTTATCAAAATAAAATGAAATTGTCCACACATGTAGATAAAGGGCTATATAAATATACATGGAAATGACTCTGCCAGATGTTCAGAAAGAAGGGGGTAGGGAGGGAGAGAAAGAGACAGGTAAGAAGAGAGGAGAAAAGGAGGAAGAAAATCCTGACTTTCACAGAATCTTCATCTTAGCAACATACAAAGATGAGAACAATTGATTAAAAAAATTTAGACACAAAAATATCAAGCACTGTTCACCATCAAAATAGTTCTCATGGAACACATTATCTAACTTAATTACCTTAATAGCTCTTTGTAATGAAGCCTGTCCTCATTACTCATTTTTTTGGACAAGGAAACTGACACTTATAGATAAATTGGTAGGACTTCAGTTTTGGTCCTTGAAAAATGGAATAAACTTTTTCCATGTGGGTTAAGACAAAGAGAATATCAGACCTGTTCAAAAGTACACCTGAACCATGCATAGAGATGTCTTGACACCAGCGGTTTTTCAGTTTTTCTTTTTAGAAACATTACAACAATCAGTTTTCTTAGTTGAGCATAAGAAACACAATATATGAATTGCTTTTAGGAGCCATTCTTTCTCTCTCTTTAGAGATGTAAGCAAATTCATACACACACATATATATATTTATATACGTGTGTGTTGACTTTGTAAGAGTTTAGTGGGGTGGGGTTTGGTGGCTCCTGCCTGTAATCCCAAAACTTTGGGAGGCCGAGGTGGACAGATTGCTTGAACCCAGGAGTTAGACACCAGCCCCGGTAACAGGTGGAACCTCATCTACTAAAAATAAAAATTAGACACCAGCCCCGGTAATAGGTGGAACCTCATCTACTAAAAATAAAAAAAATTAACCGAGCCTGATGGTGCACGCCTATAATCCTAGCTACTGAGGAGTCTGAAGTGGAAGGATTGCTTGAGCCTAGGAGATGATTGCAGGGAACCAAGATTGCACCATTGCACTCCAGCCTGGGCAACAAACTGAGACCCTTTCTCAAATTAAAAAGGTGTTTAATTGGTTTATATCTTCCATTTCTACGTACTCAATATTTTTAAAACTCTTGTTCACACTCCCTTCCTTCATATAAATATTTTTGAAGTAAATCAGTGAAAGCCTATAAAGTTTCGTGTTCATTAAGTGTATAATATGTTCTAAAATAGTTTTAAAGTGCTACACATATCACATAATATCCAAAACTATTTTTTCATTATTTCCATTTTATAAATGAGAAAAATTGAGTTCAAGGGAATAATGTAGTGTTCCTTTACTGGACCCTAGACATTTTATGCAGTCTCCATGATCATTTCAAAGTCATCTTCTTCACTACCATGCTAAATTACCACTGCAAAATAATTGAAATAGATAATTAACCCAAGAGCAGATTTTAAGAAATCAAATATAAAATAGGGAATTATATATTTATCAATTATAGTCAATTAAATCATAGGAAATACAAGGACTTCTATTCTGCAGGAGCTGAAGTATAAATGTATTTTGGCATTTTCTGAACCAAGTAAAGGCAAGCGGCTATGGTCTTGATATCCATGTAAATCAAGGATTTCAGAAATCAAGACTCAAATAAAATGGAACTTGAAACAAACCTGCCAACAGAACAGCAGAAGTCATAGTGGTATGTGAAAAGGAATGTGAATTCCACTCATCAGTTTAGGAAAGTACCAAGGAATCTTGTACTCCTTCAGGTGCGAGGCTAAAAAAATACATAAAAAGTTACCCTTGAGGGGTCAGAAGTTTCAGGCAGATGTGGTTATCAAATTCACACCTCTCCAGTATTTTGTGAATAGTAAGTTGAGAAATTCATATAAAAAACTATGATTTCAAAAGCTGAAGGCCCTGGTGGTTTCATCATGGAAAAAATATAAAATTTTCCTTTATAGATCTTTCAAAAGCCAAGACTCATGGGGCTCTCATGAAAACTACTCTCACAGTGAGCTCACAGTCAATGTTTACAAACCATATGAGGAGACCTACAATGAGGAAAAGTTAACAGATGGATGAAATGGGAGAGTTTGTTCTCCAAGTTAAAAAGTCCATTGGCATTCTAATCAAAATCTCACCAGGAATTTTAGCATAGCTTGACAAGCTGATACTATAATCCTAATGGAATTGTAAAAGTCAAAAATAGCCATGGAACTTTGAAAAAGTTTATTATCAAGCCAGTAGTTTAAACTGGCTAAATGGAATAGAACTCAAAATTCATATTCCTCCAAGCATATATGATATATGATACATGATGGAAATAGCACTGCACATCAATGGTAAAAGAATTGAGTTAGGGTTCTCCAGAGGGGGAAGAAAACAAACAATAGGGTGTAGGATGTACACACACATCTATCTATCTATCGTCTATCTATCTATCAATCTATCTATCTATCTATCTATCTTTCTATCTTCTATCATCTATCTATTTACAAAGAAAGAGACAGAGGGATGAGGATTAGTATTTATTTTAAGAAATTAGCAGCCGGGTGCAGTGGTTCACACCTGTAATCCTAGCACTTTGGGAGGATGAGGTGGGTGGATCACTTGAGGTCAGAAGTTCAAGACCAGCCTGGCCAACATGGTGAAACCTCGCCTCTACTAAAAATACAAAAAGTAGCCAGGCATGATGGCGCATGCCTGTAATTCCAGCTACCCGGGAGGCTGAGACAGGAGAATCGCTGGACCTCGGGAAGCAGAGGCGGCAGTGAGCCAAGATCACGCCATTGCACCCCAGCCTGGGTGACAGAGCAAGACTCTGTCTTAAAAAAAAAAAAAGAAGAAAAGAAAAGAAATGAAAAGAAAAGAAATTAGCTCATTCAATTGTGGAGGCTTATAGGTTTATAGGTAGGCTTGCAGCCTGGAGACCCAAGGAAGAGTTTATATTGCAGCTCTAATTCAAAGACAGTTGGCTGGCAGAATTTTTCTCTTGGGGAAAACCTCTTGAGGAGGTCAGTCTTTTTCTTTTTAGGCCTTCAACTGGTTGGATGAGGCCTACCTCCATTCTAGATTCTGGTAACCTGCTTTACTCAAAATGGCCGCTGATTTAAATGTTAATCTCTTCTAAAACATACCTTCACAGAAACATTTAGAATGTGTGATGAAATCTCTAGGTACCATGGCCTAGATAAATTAACACATAAAATTAACCATTATAAGTGCACCCTTTGTCAATTTGGCACCCGTATACAGCTACTTAAACCATACCTCATCTTCAAATAAAGACAATAGCAAGGTCATACTTCCACCTAACATAATTTAACTATCCTACGTACAACCAAAAATGCACTAACTCTTTCCCCAGAAGAGGATACAAAGCTCTTGGTGATGTTTACTTTTTTCTATATCCCATAAATTAAATATCGTAATATAAAGTTAACAATATTTAAATACCATGATATAAAGTCAATAGATCTTATATGATAAAGGGATAAGTGAGGAAAGAAAACAAAGATATTTGATATATATGCAGACACAAACACAACCATATTCCTAACAAAATAAGAATGTAATACTCATAACAGCTGCAGTCCTCACTTCTGTTATTGCTCATGTGGTCTTAGCTGGTATTTATAATTACCTTCTTCCACTACCCATTCCATATTACCTTTTCCCCAGCAAGTACCTTAACTGCTTCTGGTTCTTTACCTGATGAGGTAAATTAAATCCCCAAATCTTCATTTCTGAAGGGTCTGCGCCACGAGTAGCTCTGTCTAAATCACATGGTTGTACTCTTCCGTTCACTTTAATCACAGGGCATGGCAATTTAGTACTAAGAGATTCCCTAATGGGTATTTTGTATTTCAGATATACTGTTACTTACCTCCATTGTGCAGTAACAATCCAATTTGCCCTTGGTATTCAGGAACAATCACTTAATCAGTGCAGTAACTCCCTTCTTTGCCTGTTCATTTAGAGGTGTGAGGGGCCCAAAGTGGCTGAGGGTCTGGGAGAGTCTTAATATCCAGTTCAATGTAATCACTGTGTTTCTTAGTGGAAGTATTCCTGTCTTTGGAATGAAGACCTGTATGCCAGCAGAGCATAAGGGTACAGAGACAAGAAGCAAACATTCATTAGCAGGTCACTTGTGGTAATATTGTGTATTGCCACCACCATTTCCACTTGATTCCTAAACGGAAACATTCTGGGTATAAGAGAGACAGCACCATATACTGCATGTTGATTCAGTGTATACAGCCTCCTAGATAACTTTGCTGTGCCCTGCAAGGAATGATCACCTAGTTAGTGCTATCACTGAGTCTTCAAAAAGGCCATTCCATTGTTCTATTAAGCCAGCTGCTTTAGAATAGAGAGGACATGATAAGATCAGTGAATTCCATAAGCATGAGCCAATTGCCACACTTCATTGACTGTGTAGTAAGTTCCTTGATCAGAAGCAATGTTGGGTGGAATACAGCAACAATGGATTAGACGTTCTGTAAATTCAAAGATGATAGTTTTGACAGAAGCATTGCATTCAGGGAAGGCAAATTTGTACCCACTGTTAAGTGTCTATTCCTGTAAAAACAAAACACTTCTTCTCCCATGATGGAAGTTGTCCAAAGCAATCAGGTAATCCACCTGCCACTAGACAGCTGGTTGATCACCCTGGGGAATAATGTCATATCCGGGACTCAACATTGATCTCCACTGCTGGCTAATTGTCCAGAAGTGCATGTAGCGAGGCAGGCTTTGGTGAGTAGAACCATGTTGCTTTCCTCTCATCTCCTTATCTTGTAACATAAGATGTGTTCACTTTTTATGACAGTTTTTACATATTTGTTCCACAGTGATCAGGTTTAAGCAAATCTACCCCCAAAGGCCAAGGCCAAAGAAAGAGGCTGACAAATCCAGTTTCTTAGAAACATTTAACAGGGACTTACAAACAGAAGCCATAGTCAGGGGGTTGTTAGATAAGATGATGGATCCTTGCACTGTTACTCCTTAGACCCAGGACTTATGTGGCATATGGACATATTATATGAGCTTCAGAAGGGATGTGTATGACTACTGCTTAAGGGCAGGAATTATGGTAAGTACAATAACATCAAGGTTGTTTTGACCTAAGGGCAGAACTTACGGTGTTACACAAAGAAGAGCAGATAAAATAGAAATCGTAGGGGCATTCCTGGAACTGAGCTTAGTTGAAGTCAACATGGTAGATTAGCATCTAAGATGAAGTTGCCTCGGCCTCCACAGTATTGTTGTCTTTACATCACATTATTTCAGTTATGAGACATAAAGAAGAAGACTAAGCATCACCCAAAGAAATTTGCATTGTCTTATGGGGGAAAGGGTTTGTTTGTTACAGTTGTATACATGATAGTTTCATCATGTTAGGTGGAAGTAGAACTTTGTTATTGTCTTTATTTGATGATTAAATATACTTAAGGAGATGTGTATGGGTGCCAAGTTTTCACATAAAATTAACTGTACAGAAATGGTCAAGAAATATTTCCTCACAAATTCAGAATCCTGCTCCCAGCTTCCTGCTTGACATCTTTTCTTGAATGCCTCAAAGCACTTCATACTCTGCATGACCCAGCTGAACACATGATTCTGTACTCCAAAGTCTGTCCCTTTTCCATTTTTGTGCTTCTAAGTAAAAGGCAGCCCCGTCCACCCAGCTATGTATGCCAGAGATAAAGGTGTCACTTTGTACAATAAAGACGAGAGGAAAATGTTAATTATTAAAAGCTCTTTATTAATCCCATGCTATTCTACTTTCTTCAACAAGCTTATAATACTTAATTTGGGTTTCATAAAGTTAATTAAATTAAGTAACCTAATGACTTCAGGTATTTTTACAATTTTGTAAACTCATTAATCCAAGCTTATTCCTAAATCATGCCCACTTAAAATATATTTTTGTTTTATTAAAAAAAGTATTTTAAAATTTCATTCAAAATATAAACCTATATTCCACAATTTTAGTGCATTAATATAAACTCTGTCTATAAAAGTTTTATTCTAGAAGGTTTTGCCTTTAAAACTAGTGGTAATTGTAGAAAATAATGTAATTTGAAATCTGACATCGAAAGTATTATTGAATATAAATCACTCTTAAGAATAGCTTTTGGTAACATGTCTTGCATTTTAATTGAGAGATAATGGCCATTTCAGGAATCTCACTGATTGCTCTCTTTGGTCATTTGCTTTTATTTTAATCTATTTTCTTTAAAAATTTTAGTACTTTCTCATGCCTGCTGTGATGAAACTATCAGGCAAATTTGGGATCCATATGGGATTTCCTCTACACATACTTTGAGCCTTTAATTCCAAACTGATATTTTATTCCTTAAAATGGTATAAATATGACCACTAAATATTCTGTCTGAAGCAACAGAGACAAATGGGCCATCTAGAGAATGGGTAGGAAGGATGGGCCTGTAGAACACTTCAACTCTCCATGGATCTAAGAACCAGAGACAGAAGCAATAACAGAGGGTGCTGATAGAGCTGCTACTATTATACAACTACTAAGACTTTATTGCAATTTTACAACACATATAATTTGTGTATAATCGGTTCCTCTATCTTTGTGTTTTGGGTGTTATTTTGTACATGTTTCCCTCACTAACACACTTGGCTCTGAGTTCCTTGATGAAGGAGATTTGCTCATCTCTGTATCCTCAATACGTATATAAAATACCTACACCAACGAAAAACTGTATATAATAAGTGTTTGTAATAGAGTGTTATAATTAACTACACAGAAATGTGAAAATAAAGGGCATAAATATGTGTGCTCAGAATCTTTTTGTGTTTCTTTTCAGACATACATGCAAACCTTAAGTCTTACTAATAGCAAACTATTAGAAAATAGACACTTGGAACTATAAGGATATTATTTTAGACATGGTGCTCTTTTAGGCAATAATTACTAAAGAACAAGAACCTATCATGTTTAAATATATATGATTACTTTTATACAAACATATTATGTGCTAAAAATTATAAAAATATTGTATTTATGTATTATGTCATTCTTGTATTGCTATAAAGTAATACTCGAGACTGTGTAATTTATAAAGAAAAGAGGTTTAATTGGCTCACAGTTCTGCAGGCTGTACAGGAAGCATGGCACCCACATCTGGTCTGCTTAGCTTCTGGCGAGGCCTCAGGAAGTATTTACTTATAATGGAAGGTGAAGGGGTAGCAGACATGTCACATGGCAAAAGCAAGAACAAGGGGGTGGGGAGGTGTCACGCATCTTCAAAGAACCAGATCTTGCATGAACACACTCACTATGACAAGGACAGCACCAAACCATGAAGGATCCGCCTCCATCACCCAAACACCTCCTACCATGCCCCACCTCCAACATCGGGAATTTCATTTGTACATGAGATTTGGATGGAGACAAATATCCAAATCATATCAATTTACGTGTGTATTTATTAGGTAAAATGACCAAATGTAAACATTTTTATAGCTGTACTTATAATTTCCAAACAAAATTTTATCTTAGTTAGAATTATATTTTCTATTTTTATAAATAATTTTGTGCCACAAATATTCAGTTTAGCTCAATATTTAGACTTCATAAAGGGCAGCTATGACTCACTCAAAAGGGATAATTTGTCAGAGTTCAATGAAGAATAATTTTAGAAAGATCTAAGGGAAACCAAGAAAGAATGATGCATGTCTAGCAGTCATGGGTAGATGGATGGTGACTGTGCCACCATGGCAGACATGGGGAGGTAGCAAGTGGCAGAACTTATAAGAGAGAGCACTTTGAAGAGGGCCGCACAGCATTGGCTATAGACGCGCTACATAGTCAGGAACCAGGGTATGAAGACTCTGGCTGTCCTCTCCTCCTGCCTTTTAGAAGAAGATCTGCTGGTGCATCTCCCAGGCTTGGTGCAGCCCAGATGGTGTAGTCCCTTGAAGGACACTGTTCCAGGTCACAAAGCAGGGTGGAGGAGAATGGAAAGACAGTCTGTGGGGGGAGGGGGAGGGCTGTAAGAAAATGTCCAGAACAGCATGCTTATGTGACATTATCTTAATGTAATAATAATAAAATAAACTGCTTGCTTTTATTCTGTTGCACAGAGAGGATAAAATTATATGAATTTCTTTTAGAGTATGGAAAATAAGTTGTAACTAATATATATATATGAAACCAACATTATATTATAAATATATATAATATATATAAGACATTGAATGTCTCATTCTTCTCAATGACTTTTTAAAGTTCAGATTCTACTCTCTATAATGATGACTAGTTCACAGAACATAAACCAGGTATATGTATTTCTGAGGTTATAGCTGATAAAATTTGTAAACTAACAAAGATGTCATTGGATTAAAACACAATTAGAAACAGTGTTTTAGTTTAATTTCTTTACAGCTACTCAGTGATTGTAAACTTCACACATTAACTCACAACAAAGTACAAAGTTCTTGTGTATACACTGCAATATTTTTTTATACTATGGAAGACATAAACTCCCCCCCGTATCTTTGTATATAACCTCACTTTTTTTTTTTTTTTTTTTTTTTGCGGGAATGGGTGGGTGCGGTGGCTATGATACCTAGAATTTCATTTTCATTTCCGGAGAAAACATCATTGTAAAATCTTATCTTTATCTGGAAAATTTAGATAAGTTTTCAATATATTGATTCAGTAGTAGAGAGATTGTTTTTAAAGTCTACCAGCAGCTTCTCTACATGAAAATTAATTTTACTTAACAGAAAAAAATATGTTCATACCAATTAGAAGCAGTTTGAACCACTTTTTTTCTTTTCCTTTTTTTTTTTTTTCCTTTGTTAAAGACCGAGTCTTGCTGTCACCCAGGCTGGAGTGCAGTGGCGTGATCTCGGCTCACTGCAACCTCTGCCTCCTGGGTTCAAGCAATTCTCCTGCCTCAGCCTCCCAAGTAGCTGGGACTACAGGTGTGTGCAACCACATCCGGCTAATTTTTTTTGTATTTTTAGTAGAGACAGGGTTTCACCATGTTAGCCAGGATGGTCTCGATCTCCTGACCTTGTGATTCACCAACCTCGGCCTCCCAAAGTGCTGGGATTACAGGCGTGAGCCACTGCTCCTGCCCTGAACCACTGTTTTTCTAAAAAAATTTGGAAGTTGGTCATTAGTATAGTGATAATATACCACCAAGCCTGAATCATGCACAGAGAAATGAAGTTGACATTTTGCTTCCAGAGTAGTTTTCTTGTAAGTACTTAAAAACATTAACTATGGAAGAGCTAATGCGGTATTAACACATGAGCTGCAACATCACTCCATAGCTCATTCAAGCTACGTATGACAAGTAAGTATCCACTAAAGTCAATTTTCTAATGAGAAGTAAGTATCCACTGAAGTCAATTTTCTAATATCATCCTAGGCTGAGACTCTCCAGGATGTAGACAGGGAAGGGAAAGTAGGAAGAATACAAGAAGACGTCTAGCATGGCAAGAACAGAGTAACTCTTCTGACTTTGGGGGCTGATGGCACATTTAAGGGGTAGATCATTTGTTACATGCTCTGCAACAGCCACAGATCGAAGCATTCTCTGCACATGTGCTCACTCTGGAAAGGACTGTTAGTCATACATAGTTGAGACATATGTGTTCAAACCAAAATTTTAATCAATAATATCATTTATGTATATCAAGAATAGACTGCTGATGATGGATTAATAGATAATAGACAGATGGACAGAAATATATATATATATACATGTATAAAATAGGGATATTTTTGAAATTCCAGTTGCCTTCTTAAGGAAAGTAAACATGGGAATATTAAATTAAGCCAAAAAGGACATTTGTTAATGCAAACAAACACAGTTTACTTAGAACAGAAACTCATTTGTCCCCCCAGAAATGTGATCGTTTTCATATAAATATTTTCAGGAAAACTGAAGATGTCACCTGTAGGTTGCTATTAAAAAGGAAAATAAAATGATACTTACCTTATTTAGTGAGCAACAGTACAGAAAACATATTTTAGAGCCTGCAAGAAAAAATGTTCGCTAATAACCTGTTTTCTCCCTACATAAAAGTCATTAGATTGAGGTCAACGTTAGCTTCTTCATTCTAGTGGGAAACTTCTCTCTTAAATATCTACTTCTGAAGTTCATATTTATTTTCAGAACAGTTTTATGATAATGATCATGATTTTCCAATCCATAAGTCCATGTTCTTTTACACTTGTATTCCACTACACAGAATACTACACATGCATTTTATACCCTTAAATTAGGTACTTAGTTTTTTGTGGTGATTATGTTTTGTTTTGCCAAACAAGAGCGGATACAACGTTGGAATATCATCAGTTTTATATTCATGTTGACACGTGAGAAACTGTCATATCGAGACTCATGTTGTCTTGAGGTTTTCTTTCATTTTACAGATTTTGACAATGATTACTTCCTCTGACTTAAAGTTTAGCATCAACTGCACAATGTCATAGGTAAATAGCTCAATAGTAAAGAACTGAAATTCTTATCTTTGATAATAGAATAAGAATTTGGTAGATATACTCTGAAATGAAAAGATCAATACGTGACTATCATTCAGCTAGCATATATTGCATATATATATGTGTGTGTGTGTGTGTGTGTGTGTGTGTGTGTCTATATATATATATATATATATATATTCTGTAGTTAAATTTCAGAAGAAACAACTAAAAGGGTCAAAAGTAGATGCCAGGGAGGGAAGAGGAGGAATAGGACAAGTGTTACTTACTATTGTTTATAAATTTATGCCACTATTTGATTTTTCAAACCACATATTTGTACTATTTTAATATAAAATTATTAGATTAATAGAAATCTTAGACATCAAATTAAAAAATAGAGATACAAGAATATGTTTATTATTTCCTTTTATTTAGCACAGGAATGAAAGTTTATTGAAAATCTTTAAAGCAGGAATGAAAAGAAGGCAAGAAAGTTCACTTGGAAAAGGGTCAAGTTGGCGACTTGAAAGACAAGTGCACCGTTTATTACATTCTTATATAGGTTAACCGAAAACGAAAATGTGCCTCCTCATGCACAATACAATAGTATCCGGACATTGCCAATAACCAAAACAAAGCAAAAAGTAAAGAAAGGAGGGTGGGTGACTAAGAGCATGGAAACTGAAATGTTTTCATTTCATAAGATGGATATAACATATATTAATCTTTGAAGATCATTTAGTCAGACTTTCTTATTTTACTGACAGTGAAGCCTGGGATTAGCAAAAGCAAGTAATTGAGGATGGTTACATATCATCAACAGCAAGACTAAATCTGGGTAAAACTCTCTTGTGGGCAGGTCAGGGGCCTGTTATGTTTCAGTTGTGAAAAATCGGATGTTGTCCTTCATTAGAGAGCTGCAAAGAGAGTATTGTTCTGAACGGGGATATGGTAGTGAATAACATATCATACATATACCCAGAAGTATGTACCTTACCACCCAATTATGCACAAGAGGGAAAGCTGATCAATTTGGGGAAGTGTTTATAAATGTAAATTTTGTTTAAAAATGATTTGACAGTGTTTTGAATGCTCTGAAAAATAAAAAGTACTCCACATGCACGTGAGCACACCCACACACGTGATGAATGGTTTGATGAATGAAGCTGGAAATAAATATTTGGCTGTTTGCAATGTTTCTATTTTTAATATTTTCCAAGTCAAATATTTTTTTACTGAAGTTTTGAAGTATTTAATTAACTTTGTTCTTCAACTGGTGAAACTGGATTATGGTCTTTCTTGAAAAATATTCTGATATGAAAAGAATGATTAGAAAAACTAACAGTTTAATGTTGGCATATAAACATAGAAGAACAAAATATAAATGTTCTACACTCTTACTTACACCATATATAATTAAATGTATTGCGCCATCTAAGTTAAATCTATCATTTTAAATTAATGCATTTCTTTTCATTTAAAACTAAAAGTTTATCTGAAAGTTTGTCAGTGCATTTCTGAAAATTTTCGGTAGCTGTACTAGTTTATGAAGTTCAGCCTTACTTGTTAACATCATTGGAACTATAATTGAGAAGAATTAAGAACTACGCTAAAAAGAACTTTTCTTTAGGGTTATTTGGGATTTTAAAATCTTACAAATTTACAAAAGAGAACATGGGCAAATTAATTAGGTTAGTTAATGTAAGTAATTCAAGAAAATTTATACTAATTTAATCTAGAAATTAGTACAATTACATCATTTCTGTTTGATTAATTAGAGACTTAAAAAAGTGATTTTTTTTTTTTTACTATTTCTAGGGAGCTGTTTGCTTCCCACCATTAGAATACCCATCGATTGCCTTGAAAATTTATGTAAACATTTAGTGGAATGTTAAATGAGACTAGCTTGTTAATTTTGTCCCCGTGATGTTCTAAATACAGAACTTGTTGTCTTTTAATAGAAAATAAAACTCATAGAACCTGTAAAAATGTATTTTTAAGCCAATCAAGACTGTTTCCAGAAAATAAAATGTCTTCTAGCAATGTTTATTTGTGATTCAGAGTTTCATCCTTTGTAATATTTTATTTAAACAAATCTTTAATATCCTATTGCTTAAATCTTTCTTTAATATTTTAAATATTAAATTTTATCTACAATTCAAAGCCAATTTATTTCCATATTTACAAAATGTAAATCACTAAGCAGCTTAATAGGTATAATATATTATTTACTAAATGATATACCAAAATTTTATTTATTAGAAGGCATTATTAATTAACAAGAAGCTTATAGCAAAAATAATTGAAGACATATCCAAGTTACAGTTATAGTTTCTCACCTTCTCTAGACAGCCAAATGGCTTTTTTACTAAATACAATAAAATTGTTGTGCACCTGCTTGCATTTTAATATATTTAAACATTAAAATAATTACTCAACACTTTTATCTGCTATCTATTAATTTTTAAAAATTCCCATGTGTCTCATGACAATGTAACTTTTCAATTTTAGTAATTTCCAGAAAGCCAAATTAGGAAAAAATATAAAACTTATATGCTTTTTAAAAATTACAGGACAGTATCTCCCAATTTCATCATTCTGATTTTATGTCTAGCCAGTATATTTCTTCACTAATATGAATGGTCTATGCTCTAAGTCATGTTTAGCAACATCTTAGCAAACCCAGTGAACAATATTTTATTGTAACTTGATCCTCACAGGAAATGAGAAAAGCTCAAATGATTGGCATTAAAAATATACCAGCAATTAGAAAACATGTAAAAAGACATATACAATAAAAACAGTTCCAATTTTTCTGTTATAAATAAGATGTTATTTAAAACCATTGAAAATTATGAAACAGTCAAATATCAATGCTTGTTATATGAATGCATCTTTATAATTTGTTTTAATTGATACATTTATTGGAGATTCCGTTACCTATTTTCCCTCACTTTATCCTGCACATATTTTCTGTGCTAGCTGTTTCATTGTCTTGTTTGTTAGCACTCAGTCGAGAAACAGCTACATAAAAAGAAACACTTTGATCATGTCTATTATTTTCACGTTAAATGTGTAGCTTAAAAATATCTGTCATTTATTCTTTGTATATGTTGCAGAGGAGGAAAAAAAGTGAAGGCAGCATCTTTGGTCTCTCTGGATACTAGAAATTAAATTATTGTTTCATATACAGTGACACAAAATCTTATTTTCAATCAGAGCATTCCTGTCCTCTGTTGATTTTAGTGCTAGAGAAATAATTAATATCTTCTGTATTCAACAGGCTAAGAGTTATTTACTGTACATTTTTAACTAAAGATTTTTTGGAGGGGTTTTAACTGCTTGAAGAATGTTCCAGTAATCCTGAAACAGAAATTGATTATATTATCTCTTTAATTATGGCATAGCATTTTTATTGAGTGATAATACTACCTAAAGTATGTAACTTCTACATGGATGAAGCTGGAAACCATCATTCTCATCAAACCATCACAAGGACAAAAAACCAAACACCGCATGTTCTCACTCATAGGTGGGAATTGAACAATGAGAACACATGGACACAGGAAGGGGAACATCACACACCGGGGCCTGTTGTGGGGTCGGGGGAGGGGGGACGGATAGCATTAGGAGATAAACCTAACGCTAAATGACGAGTTAATGGGTGCAGCACAGCAACATGACACATGTATACATATGTAACTAACCTGCACGTTGTGCACATTTACCCTAAAACTTAAAGTATAATAAAAAAAAAAGTATGTAACTTCTAAGCAAGTCATCAATATTCATTTTAATTTCAGATAGACTAGAAATACAGATTCCTTTTTTTGCATGTGAAAGGAGATAAGTGTACTTTAAACTCCTTAAAAGGCAATTCTGGGCTTTTTGCAGTTAGTTGATGTCCCGACCTTTAGAGCATTCTTCATGGATTCCGGGCACTGGCCCATGCTTGGCCTAATTTGACAGATATTGGGCAAGTTGTTCTCACTGGCATTCTGCTCCTTGTGTTTAAGACCTGGCAGTGACATCTTTCAGCTTAAGAAAAAACAGCATGAACAACTGTGCTAAAAATTCTACACAGAGACATCCAAGAAAAGTTTAGTTTTTTTTGAGAAAATAACATAATTTACCACAGGTAATCGTTTGAGGGTATCACTAAATCATATGTATTTTTCAAATAGAGAAAGCTATTTAATTGATGTTTTTAGATAAATGTACTATTCATGAAATATTTTGAGATCTCCAAATATGTTCAAGAGTTAATCTATTTTAAAAATTTTAAACACTCATTTTATCTCTGCATTTATTTATAATTTTTATTCCAAAATTCTAAGAAAATACTTTTAAGGTAAACTGTTTATATATTTGTATTTTTGTAAAAATTAAAATAGGAATACAATCTTTATGAGTGTCTAGTTTAATAAGATTCAAAAATTATTTTAATGTATTCAGTTAGAGATATATCCTGTACTGATACACAAGAGAAGTATAACTTAAAATTAATTTTCTTGAATAAAATATTAAAAACGTAATAACTGAATATGTTTAAAACTAATTCAATGCATTTTTCTATTAAGTTTTATAATATTGGAGACTAAGATTAACCAAAATATAGGCTTTGTTTTCTTTATTGGCATGAGAAAAGACAATTTTTGCAGTTATTCTTGCCAAACCTAATTACAGGGCCTATTCAGAAGTCAAAATACATCTGGCATCATTGTGTCCTGATTGCATGATGCTACCCTCTGAGGTGACATACAGGAATGTGTTTCAAAGTGCTTGAATGAGAGATTGTTGGAGATGTAAGATGTAGCAAGCATATGTCATAGAGAGACAACCCCATTTTTCTGCTCCAACAATATGCATTTAAAAAAGAATAGATTCCATGTACCTATATTTTTTATAAAACCCTAGGAACAAAGCCCACTCTTCTAGTTCTGAGCAAAAGGAAATTTATGCACAAATGATAATTTAGTTGCATATGTATGCACAGAGATTAAGTAATTTTTATTTGCTGAAACTGTTCCCATATGACAATTGTATTTAATAGAGCATGGCATAAAACCCAATGACCAAAAACTAGAAGATTAATCCAAAGTATTTAATTAAGATAAAAATGTATTCTGTTAAGGTTTTTCATATTTTGATGCTATCTTTATGATATGTGAAATACTGGATTAATATTCTATTTTGTTTAATTTTCTTTTTGTCAACATTTTAAGGATCACTTATATCACTGATATTTATTATTTTACATTGTTGATAGAAGATGTATATTCTCTCGCAAGTATTTCTTCTCTTTCCTGCCATGTAATTGCATTTTCATTACACTTGAAGTTGAATGTGTCTATGGGATTCATTTTGGGCAATGACATGTGAGCAGGAGTGGTTACTTTCACTTCTAGGTGGAATTTTGGAAAAAAAAACAGGGTGTGATTCACCATACTCTCCCATATTGAAGATGCAGTGGAGCCGGGGCTCCTTTCTGCCTTCCATGGACATGTGGCAGAATTGAGTAACAAGCTTTGGTTGTTGTGTCACTGAAGCATAACTTGGGGGACTCTAACTAATAAACTTGCAAAATCTTAAAAAAAAAATAAGAGAGAGAGAGATAAAAGGTTAAAAGTTGCTTGGATTGAGAAGATAGAATAAATGCTTTATTTTCCCAAATGTGAATCTTCAAAGATGACTTTCTTTTTATGCTGCTCTGTTTCTGATTTATACACTATTAAAAATGAATGTAAAGACTGAAAATAAAGTGAATAAAGTTGTACTAGACAAAACTCATGGAGTACAATCTCACTTTTGATATTCATTTCTT